>NC_000004.12:111345623-111497138 GCF_000001405.40 Homo sapiens | reverse complement strand
TACTATGTCCAGGAGGCTAATGGGAAGCAGGCACGTCCTACATGGGTGGAGCAGGAGGAAGAGAGAATGAAAGGGGAGGTGCTACACACTTTTAAAACAACCAGATCTCATGAGAACTCACTATTACCAGAACAGCAAAGGAGAAATCCAACCCCACGATCCAATCACCTCCCACTAGGCCTCTTCTCCAATATTGGGGATTACTATTTGACATGAGATTTGGGTGGGGACACAGATCCAAACCATGTCACAGCCCTTACGAGGAACTAACCCTGACAACATCTCAATCTCAGACTTGTAGCCCCCAGAACTGTGAAACAATACTTTGTTGTTGTTTAAGCCACCGAGTTGGTAGTACTTTGCTATAGCAATCTAAAATAGTCTAGTTTATAGCAAACTAATACACCCAGTAATCACAAACTAATTCATATCATCAAATTTTTACTTTTCTTTCTTTCATTTATATATGAAAACAACAAAATCATGAGGACCTCAAGAAACTAGTTAACTGAATCTTTTTTGTGAATATGTGTCTGGCGTGAGGAAGTGACTTCAATTGTGCTGGAGAGTCTGACATACAAGGCACAACTTCAGGAACTTTTAGAATGCTCTGGGTCTTTTGCTGAGTAGGGTCTTATATATTCTTGGGCAGTATCATACTGGTATTCTTTGAGGAAAATAAAAAGTTTCTTCTTTGTAACTTGACACTATGGAAATATATTTTATTTGCACTTTATCAATAAATTTAGAGCAAAAATTCCCACCAAAATGCAGTGACACTCCTAACTGAGTCAGATAGCATGTGTAAGATACATATAGCCCCAGTTTAGTCCTTTCTTTAAGGAAACCAAGTCATTGGATTGAGAATAACTTTAGGTAAGATAGCTCCTGGTTTTGTTTTGAGTCAAATACGCTCTCCATAAGCACAAACACAAAGCCATTGAGTTATCTTGTCTAATAGAGAGTCTATTTGACTATTAAGTACCTGATGGCAGTGGCTTGATATAAGTGATCTATTCTTCCCCCAAAATAATTTCTCTCTAGCACTTTCTATATAATCTATGTATATATTTATAAACAAGGCATATGTATACATATACCTTAATTGAATACAATCTATTCCTCTTCAAAAAATATTTTCCTCCAAGATTAAATAAAATTAAATTGACAAAAAAATACAGTGAACAGCCTACATTTTGTTGGTTAATATTGTTTAATTTTATCATTTGAAAATAATATAAGCACAGATTTATTTAATGTGTCCATTTCTGTCATATTTGTTTATTAATATTTTGAGATCGTTACCAATTTAGACAGACCTCCCAATGCACTGTATATCATTAAATACTAGGGAAAATGTGGAGCCTACTGTTATGCACACGAAATTCTAAAACCTGTCTATTCTCTCCCCTCTCTCTTTCTCTTTGCTTTGGCCTAAGTAGTCCCCTTTCATAGGTGAGAAACCTTGGCATAGCACAATAAACTTGGAAAAAGAATGAAGTCAGTGAAAGAATGAGGATCAGCACATTCAGCCTTCTGATTGGAAGCTTAATATAATTATTCTCCAATAATTATATTCCTGTCCATGTACTTAGCATGAAATATATATTGGGTTGAAAATGATATTTTCAAATCCTCTTTACAATGCCAAAAGTACCATTATACAGCCTATCCTTTTTATTAAAAGATAATACTAAAAGGTTATGTAAAGGCAAAAGATTAAATCATTTAAAGTAAAATTAAGGGTCCTTTACAATTGAATTATTGCCTACATTTTATAAAACTAAAATGAGTTTATTTTGTTAAGTCAAGCAGTGAAAAGAAGGAAATACTTTGCTTTTATGGTCATGCACCTCTAAAATCACTGTCCAGGAATTTTCCAGCACTAACATTTTTCATCTACAGAGACCAAAAATATGCAGATAAAGTTAGTTTCAGAAAAGATTCCACAATGTAACCAAGCTTTACATACACAGGGGAAAAACAAGCTCGTGGATTCAATGCAATTTTTAAAAAATGTGGCCTTATAAAACTGTCATTCAGAAGCTAGTAAGAACTCTATCTACTTAGTGCTGGACATTAAAACTCTTCTGGGCAGATTTGGTCAAAACAAGCAAGATCTTTCACAGTAATCAGCCAGAAAGCTGTGATAACTTGCAGTGAGTCCTTTTTCCTATTAAAATATTTACAATGCTACGCAAGGGTTCATATGATGCCAGCATCTTACTAGCTCGAAGAAATCCAAAAAATTTTGGAAATTGGGATGTGTAACAAAAATAGAGACTTCTTCCAACCTGTATTTTTTAAGCATCTAGAAGGTATCCAGAATTTTTCTACCAGCCACAAAGTTTATCTTCCTCTACCAAAAACGAAATTATCATAAAGAACTGGTATGTCTGATTTTGAAATGTCTCACCCCCAAAACAGCATCTGTATGTTTGGAAAATACTTTAGTCAACTATTCTGTGGTCTGGGCTTTGGGTTCCTCAGCTGACAGTGGTCAGATAACATGGGTGGACTGTCTGGGTTGGTTTGGCTTATTGGGAGAAATTGCTGATTAATTTACATCATCGCATTTATTTGTTGTCCCCAAATAATCTTTTTTTATCTCATGTATTTTTAATAAAATCTTGTCATACCAATCATAGGTTATGTATGAAACAAAGCAATCATAATTCTTTTACAGAAAAAGGCATCAATTTTACATATCGCGTATCAAATTTTGTTCATTTAAAAGTCCTCTTTAGGAATATTACATATAATATAAACAGCATTTATTTTTCATATTAATGTATATTTTAGTGGATAATAAATTTTTTCTAAGTTAATGACTTCTCTAAGTCATTAACTTTCAGATAATATTGACTTTCACACTAAAAGTAGTGGCAAAAACCACAATTAAGTTTGCACCAACTTAATATATAATGATATTATACATCTTGCTTTCTTAAGCTATCTGAAGCTATTATATAATATTTAAAACAAAGAGTTTTGGACTTGGATTTTAGTGATGAATATATTTTCTTAAAAAAGTGGTAGTGTGAAGGAACCAGGAACAACATAGTTTTTCTAACTTTTAACTTTGCTAAGTAAGGACATTATTTAAAAAATTTACTCTATCACCACTATTTTATAAAAGAAAGTAACTCTATCACAAAATAATTTAAAAGTGCAGATTCTTGGACTCAAAGGTATATTTTATAAAGCAGGATAATTGACAATTTTACCTTCACATACATAAAAATTTTGTCTTATTTTTCTCATCTTGTCCAAAACCATCTCTGGTCTGAGAACTGGCACATGGAAACCACAGCATTATATTGCCCCAAGAGGAGAAAAAAAATAATTAAACCCAAATTTTGCTTTTTATAAATTACCTGCTCTAAATTAAGGATCCCTGTGTAATTTATTTGGCTATCTGACTATCCAGTCACAGTTACAATACTAGATTGTGGTTTAAGAGACAAACTCCTTGTATCTTCTTGCAGGAGCCTGAATTTCTGTTGCCCTTCATTTTAAGTGCCTCTATCTACATCCATACAGACCTGGGGGTAGAGGCTGGTTGGCAAACTAGGAAGGAACAAAGAAGGACATGTTGGTATCTAGGTGATAATCTTAAAAATCTCTCCATTTTACTTTTATGTATTACTTTCATTTTGGGAAATCGAAGAAATGAATCCTTTGTCAGTGATAGCCCTTGGATAGATGGTGCCCAAAAAAATCTAAAATTATTTTGGAATTTTTTTTCTGTAAACTTTCAGATAATATTGACTTTCACTTGTATTTACTTTGAACTAAAACCATAATAGATAATTTCACTGATTTCCATAATCAGGAAAAAAAACGTAAGAGTACTATGCCTCCAGGCTTTTTGGATAGTTTCTTTTTCCTGTCCAGAGAGAAATCAAAAGTGCAAAATATATGTATTTTTAATTTTTTCCTTTAAGTTTTTCGTGTGTGTGTGTGTGTGTGTGTGTGTGTGTGTGTATAGTTTGAATATATGGTGCAATGGGTATTTTTAAAATATTTTAAAGTAAGCTGAAAAACTGTAATTTTTAAAAAGTTTATTCTATAACTTGATATCTTTCTAAAATTCCAAGATAAACTCATTTAATGGCATAAAAATTATATGATTTTCTTGCTCAAATTTAAAAACTATATATATGTAAATACTATGAAATTAATTAAAATCCATGAAACATAGAATTTGTTACCCTTCATCTAAAGTCCAGGATCCAGACAAATTTGTGCTATTAAAAGTTCCCTTATCTCAAGCAGAGCTTTGGCAAAACTGTTTCAAAAAGTGCAAAGTAACAGCACAGATTTTCCACTTATATGAAATCATCTTACTTTTGTGGGTTTCAGTTAAGATCTTGATCTTAACATTTTTCATTCATTGTGGCATTATATAAGAGGCACATTTGTTCAGAGGAGAAGCTTTTTTTTCCTGTTAATATTTAACTTATAAAACTATGCCAAGAAATGATAGGGTCTTGAGAAACTGGTTAGAACTAAAGTATTTTAAGTTGAAGTTGGAAACAGCTGTCAAACGTGCATATGTTATTGGGGGTGCAATGTGTTCAGACTAATAATATGAGTTATGTGAATCCAGTACAGAAGCAGTGATGCTGATGCTTTTCTTACCCCTATAACATGATAAATATGGGATGGTGCCACTAGAAGAATGTTACCGCATATTTTATAATATAATATCATGAATTTTTAAAAAGATTTAGTGGAGTTTTAAGAAGAAAAAAAATTGCAGTGACACTTAGTAATCTTCAAAAATCTTTCAATCCAGAAAGAAAAAGCACTTTATAAACTCTGAAGCTCATTAACCTTCACAAAATACTGGCAAGTTAGGTGGCAAATGTTACTCTCCTCAGTTCATAGATGAGTGAACTGAAGCACCGAGAGGTTAACTGATTTTTCCAATTCACGAAGCAAGTCACGGCAAAAAGGGAGGTTACACAGAATTCTTGACTATTGGTTCACATGGGGCTCTACTCTCTGGACAAAATGATTTGTTGAATAAGCACCTATTGATTATAACTTGCTGGATAATGTCATTTGACATTTGTCCAAATAATTTGCTCATGATACAATCATACTATACAACCTCTAAAAGGACAAAATTGTCTGTTTGACCCAAATACTACAATAATTTGGATCGATGCAAGTGAATAATTGGTGGAAAAATTTTAGTCTGCTTTTCTATTAATTAAGGTATAAAATATATGAATATTTGAAGGAATTAATATTTTGTGTTCAGCAATAAGTAAAATGAACTCCACCTTAATGTGCCTTCTTTAAGGGGTTTTCCAATATCCTGAAGAAAGGAAAGTTATATGTTATATTATTCCGCTATTGTAATGCAAAACCAAAAAGATATCTGATTTTTTAAAATTAGGGATTTCAAAAAGGTAGGAATTTAGCTCTACTTAAAAATCATTTGCTATGATATTGGTAAAGTTAAGTGAACAGTTCCTTTGATTATTTTGTCTCCCATTGTATCTATTTTAAACTCTACATAATAAAATATTAAAGTATTTAGCACTGTGCTTGCCACATATAAAATAATTATTAAAAGCAAAATATAAAATAAAAAATAAATGAAAAAATACATATTTGAAAGTGTACGTAAATTTGACCTGTTTTTCAAGTGATCTGGAATGTTATTGCATACCAAAAGCTATTCAGATAAAGTATTCCCAAGCTGCAAAATGTTAAAAGATGATCTCATATGTCAGCTTCCTTTTTAAATGACAAAGCAGATAGAAGTAAAATAATTTGCTCAGTACTAAATAGGCAATGCCTAGAAAATCTTACACCAATGTTTCTGGAAATTTGGGGATCCTATTGGCCAAATAGTTTCAGACAACAACAGCCTATCAGAACAGATCCCAATAACTTTGCTTATCTTGATTAAGGTGAAATTGTCATCAGTTTAATTATAGCCAAAAGAATGAGAATATAGAAAAAAGAAAGGGACACAAGAAGGAGAAATGAAGGAATGAAGAAAATAAGGAAGAAATAGAGAGGGGAAAGAGGGAGCGAGGAAGGAATCCAGTGAATAACAGTGGACAACACAGAGAGTTCATTAAACTTAGGGATTTATCTCTCTCTTTTTTTCATTTTTACAGCTAGCTTGTTTCTAGTTTTTAGGACTGGATATGAATATGTTCCTATAAGGATTCAATAGGCTCAGATGTCACTTCTTAGATTCTACAAAAAGAGTGTTTCGAACTTGTCGAATAAAAGCACAGGTTCCATTCTGTGATATAAAACAGCACATCACAAAGCATTTTCACACATTGCATGTTCCTAGGGTTTTTTTCATTTGTTTGTTTCTTTCTTTTTAAAACATTTTATTTTACTTTAAGTTCCAGATACATGTGCAGAATGTGCAGGTTTGTTTCATAGATATATGTGTACCATGGTTGTTTGCTGCACCTATTGACCCGTCCTCTAAGTTTCCTCCTCTTGCCCCCTATACCCAACAGGCCCTGGTGTGTGATGTTCCCCTGTGTCCATGTGTTCTCATTGTTCAACTCCTACTTATGAGTGAGAACATGTGGTATTTGGTTTTCTGTTCCTGTGTTAGTTTGCTGAGGATGATGGCTTCCAGTTTCATCTTTGTCCCTGCAAATCAGATGATCTCATTTCTTTTTATGGCTCTGTAGTATTCCATGGTGTATTTGTACCACATTTTCTTTATCCAGTCTATCATTGATGAGTATTTGTGTTGGTTCCATGACTTTGCTATTGTAAATAGTACTGCAATAAACATATGTGTACATGTGTCTTCATAGTAGAATGACTTATCATCCTTTGGGTATATACCCAGTAATAGGATCACTACTGAGTCAAATGGTATTTCTGGTTCTAGATCCTTGAGGAATCACCATATGGTCTTCCACAATGGTTGAACTAACTTACATTCCCACCAACAGTGTAAAAGCATTCCTATTTCTTCACAGCCTATTGTTTCTTGACTTTTAATAATTGCCATTCTGACTGGCATTTCTTCTAGATTTTCTAGTTTGTATCTCATTGTGGTTTTGATTTGCATTTTTTAATGATCAGTAATGTTGAGCTTTTTTTCATGTTTATTGGCCACGTAAATGTCTTCTTTTTTTTTTTTCTTTTTTTTTTTAATGGTTTTTTTTTTTTTATTATACTCTAAGTTTTAGGGTACATGTGCACATTGTGCAGGTTAGTTACATATGTATACATGTGCCATGCTGGTGCGCTGCACCCACTAACGTGTCATCTAGCATTAGGTATATCTCCCAATGCTATCCCTCCCCCCTCCCCCGACCCCACCACAGTCCCCAGAGTGTGATATTCCCCTTCCTGTGTCCATGTGATCTCATTGTTCAATTCCCACCTATGAGTGAGAATACGCGGTGTTTGGTTTTTTGTTCTTGCGATAGTTTACTGAGAATGATGGTTTCCAATTTCATCCATGTCCCTACAAAGGACATGAACTCACTATGCAGCCATAAATGTCTTCTTACGAGAAGTATCTGTTCATATCCTTTTCCCATTTTTTGACTGGGTGGTTTTTTTTTCTGTTGTAAATTTGTTTAAGTTCCTTCTAGATTCTGGATATTAGACCTTTGTCAGATGGGTGGCATGGTACTGGTACCAAAACAGATATATAGACCAATGGAACAGAACAGAGACCCAGAAATAACACCACACATCTACAACCATCTGATATTCATGAAACCTGACAAAAACAAGCAATTGGGAAATGATCTCCTATTCAATAAATGGTACTGGGAAAACTGGCTCACCACGTGCAGAAAACTGAAACTGGACCCCTTCTTTACACCTTATAAAAAAATTAACTTAAGATGGATTAAAGACTTAAATGAAAAATCCCAAACCTTAAGAAATGTAGAAGAAAACCTAGGCAATACCATTCAGGACATAGGCATGGGAAAGCCTTCATGATGAAAATGCCAAAAGCAATTGCAACGGAAGCCAAAATTCACAAATGGAATCTCATTAAACTAAAGAGCTTCTGCACAGCAAAAGAAACTATCATCAGAGTGAACAGGCAACCTACAGAATGGGATGTCAAATCTATCTTTTTTCTCCTGTCCTTCTTTCCATTACTTTAAGTATGTTTCTCATGATTTATCACTTGAGCTATTGTAACTATATCTGTTTTTTTTTAACTTTTAAGTTCAGGGGTACACGTGTACGTTTGTTACATACATAAACTTGTGTCATGGGGGTTTGTTGTACAGATTATTTTGTCACCCAGGTATTAAGGCTAGTCATCATTAGTTATTTTTCTTGATCCTCTCCCTCCTCCTACCCTCTACCCTCTCATAGGCCTCTGTGTCTGTTGTTCTCAATGCATCCATGTGTTTTTATCATTTAACTCAAAATTATAAGTAAGAACATGTGGTATTTCTTTTTCTGTTCCTGTGTAGTTTGCTAAGGATAATGGCCTCCAGCTTCATCCATGATGCTGCAAGAAACATGATCTCAGTTTTTAATGGCTGCATAGTATTCATTGGTGTATATGTGTCACATTTTCTTTATCCAGTCTACCACTGATGGTCATGTAGATTGATTCTATGTCTTTGCTATTGTGAATACTGTTTCAATGAACAAATGTGTGCATGTGTCTTTACAATGGCAAACAGAGACAGTTTGATTTCTTCTCTATTTCAATGGCCTTTATTTCTTTATCTTGCTTGATTGCTCTGGCTAGGACTTTCAGTACTATGTTGAATGTTGGGCATTCTTGTCTTGTGCTGGTTTTCATGGTGAATGCAACCAGATTTTGTCCATCATGTATAATGTTGGCTGTGGGTTTGTCATAAATGGCTCTTATTATTTTGAGGTATATTCTTTCAGTTCCTAGTTTATTGAGTTTTTAACATAATGGGGTGTTGAATTTTATTAAAAGTCTTTTATTCATCTATTGAGATAATCATGTAGTTTTTGTCTTTAGTTCTGTTTATGTGATGAATCACATTTATTGATTTGTGGGGATAAAGCCTACTTGATCATAGTGGATTAGCCTTTTGATGTGCTGCTGCACTTGGTTTGCAAGTATTTTGTTGAGAATTTTTGCACTGATGTTCGTCAAAGATATTGGCCTGAAGTCTTCTTTTTGGTTGTGTCTCTGCCAGGTTTTGGTATAAAGATGAACCTGGCCTCATAGAATGAGTTAGAGAGGAGTCCTTCTTCCTCAGTTTTATGGAATACTTTCTATAGAAATGGTACCAACTCTTTCTTGTTCATCTGGTAGAATTTGACTATGAATCTCTCTGGTCCTGGGCTTTTTCTTGCTGTTTTTGGTAAGCTATTTATTTCTGATTTAATTTGGGGGCTCATTATTAGTCTGCTCAGGGATTCAATTTCTTCCTGGCTCAATCTTGGGAGCAGCATGAGTCCAGAAATTTATCCATTTCTTCTAGATTTTCTAGTTTGTGTACACAAAAGTATTCATAGTAGTTTCTGATGGTTATTTTTATTTTTGTGGGGTCACTGGTAACATCCTCTTCATCATTTCTAATTTTGTTTATTTAGATCTTCTTTCTTATTTATTAGCCTAGCTAGTAGTCTATATATTTTATTTTATTATTATTATTATTTTTTTTTTTTGAGAAAAAGTCTCACTCTGTTGCCTAGGCTGGAGTGTAGTGGCTCAGTCTCAGCTCACTGCAGCCTCCGCCTTCCGGGTTCAGTTGATTCTCCTGCCGCAGCCTCTGAAGTAGCTGGGATTACAGGCGTCTGCTACCACATCGGACTAATTTTTGTATTTTTAGTAGAGATAGGGTTTCACCACATTGGACAGGCTAGTCTTGGACTCCTGACCTCAGGTGATATGCCTACCTTGGCCTCCCAAAGTGCTGGGATACACGTGTGAGTCACCTTACCTGGCCTATATATTTTATTATTTCTTTCAAAAAACCAACTCCTGGATTCACTTACTTTTTGATTTTTTTTTTTTTTTTTGGGTGACTCAATCTCCTTCAGTTCAGCTCTGATCATGGTTATTTCTTGTCTTTTTCTAGAGTTGGTTTGCTCTTGGTTCTCTAGTTATTTTAGTTGTGATGTTACATTGTTAAATTGAGATCTTTCTAACTTTTGATGTAGACATTTAGTGCTATAAATTTCCCTTTTTTTTTTTTTTTGAGATGGAGTCTCACTCTGTCGTCCAGGCTGGAGTGCAGTGGTGCAATCTCGGCTCACTGCAAGCTCCGCCTCCTGGGTTCACGCCATTCTCCCACCTCAGCTTCCTGAGTAGCTGGGACTACAGGTGCCCGCCACCATGCCCCGCTAATTTTTTTGTATTTTTAGAAGAGACTGGGTTTCACCATGTTGGCCAGGAGGGTCTCGATCTCCTGATCTCATGATCTGCCTGCCTTGGCCTCCCAAAGTGCTGGGATTACAGGCATGAGCCACCCGCCCGGCCATAAATTTCCCTCTTAACACTTATCTGTATCCCAGAGATTCTGCTATGTTTTATCTTTGTTCTTATTAGTTCCAAAGAGCTTCTTGATTTTTGCCTTAATTTCATTATTTACCCAAAAGTCATTCAGGAGCAGGATATTCAATTTCCATGTAATTGTTTGGGTCTGAGTGAATTTCTTAGTGTTGACTTCTAATTTTATCTGTGGCTCAACAGAGTGGTTATGATTTCAGTTCTTGTGCATTTGCTGAAGAGTGTTTCTTATGCTTGATTATGTGGTCAATTTTAGAGTATTTACCATGTGTCACTGAGAAGAATGTATATTCCATTGTTTTTGGGTGAAGAGTTTGGTAGATGTCTAAAAGCGTTCATTTGATCCAGTGCTGAGTCGGGTCCTGAATATCTTGGTTAATTTTCTGTCTCCATGATCTGTCTAATACTGTCAGTGGGGTGTTAACATCTCCCACTATTATTGTGTGAATATCTAAGTCTCTTCATTGGTCTCTAAGAATTTATAAATCTGGGTGCTCCTGTTTTGGGTGCATATGTATTTAGAATAGGTAGGTCTTCTTGTTGAATTGAACCCTTTACCATTATTCAATGCCCTTGTCTCTTTTGATCTTTGTTGGTTTAAAGTGTGTTTTGTCTTAAATTAGGATTGCAACCCCTGCTTTTTCTATTTTCCATTTGCTTGGTAGATTTTTCTTCATTCCTTTATTTTGAGCTTATAGGTGTCATTGTGTCTGAGATGGGTCTCTTGCAGAGAGCATACGAATGGATCTTCGTTCTTCATCTTGTTTGCCACTGTGTGCCTTTTCACTGGGGTGTTTAGCCCATTTATATTCAAGTTTAGTATTGATATATGTGGATTTGATCCTGTCGTCATGATGGTAGCTGATTATTATGTGGACTTGTTAGTGTAGTGCTTAACAGTGTCACTGGTTTGTGTACTTAAGTGTGTTTTTGTAGTGGCTGGTAATGGTCTTTTTTCCCCATATTTAGTGCTTCCTTCAAGAGCTCTTGTAAGCACATTAGGTAGTAATGAATTCCCTAAGCATTTGCTTGTCTGAAAACGATCTTATTTCTCCTTCACTTATGAAGCTTAGTTTGGCTAGATGTAGAATTCTGGATTGAAATTTATTTTCTTTAAGAGTTGAATATACCCCTCTAATGTCTTCTGGCTTGTAGGGTTTCAGCTGACAGGTCTGCTGTTAGTCCGATGGGCTTCCCTTTGTAGGTGACCTGACCCTTCTCTCCAGCTACTTTTAACATTTTTTTTTTTCATTTCAACTTTGGAGAATCTAATGATTATGTGTCTTAGGGCTGACCTTCTTGTGAAGTATCTTACTGGGATTCTCTCCATTTCCTGAATTTGAATGTTGGACTCTCTACCTATGTTGGGAAATTTCTCATGGATGATATCCTGAAGTATGCTTTCCAAGTTGGTTCCATTCTCCCTGTCTCTTTTAGGGATACCAATGAGTTGTAGATTCAGTCACTTTACATAATACTATATTTCTAGGAGGTTTTGTTTATTCCCTTTCATTCTTTTTTTCTCTATTTTTGTCTGATTGCCTTATTTTAGAAAGCTAGTCTTCAAGCCCTGAGAGTCTTTCCTTTGCTTGGCCTGTTCTGCTATTAATACTAGTGATTGCATTATTAAATTCTTTTTTTTTTTTTTCTTTTTTTTTTTTTGAGACGGAGTCTCGCTCTGTCACCCAGGCTGGAGTGCAGTGGTGCGATCTCGGCTCACTGCAAGCTCTACCTCCCAGGTTCACGCCATTCTCCTGCCTCAGCCTCCCAAGTAGCTGGGACTACAGGTGCCCACCACCACACCCGGCTAATTTTTTGTATTTTTAGAAGAGACGGGGTTTCACTGTGTTAGCCAGGATGGTCTCGATCTCCTGACCTCGTGATCCACCTGCCTCGGCCTCCCAAAGTGCTGGGATTACAGGCATGAGCCACCGTGCCTGGCCCGTATTAAATTCTTGTTATGTGTTTTTCAGTGCTTTCAGGTCAGTTACATTCTTTCAGTACTAGCTATTTTTTTTCTGTCAGCTCCTGTATGATTTTATTGTGATTCTTAACTTCCTTGACTTGGGTTTCAGTGTACTCCTGCATCTCAATAATCTTCATTATTATCCGTATTCTGAATTATATTTCTGTAATTCAGCCTCCTTAGCCTGGTTCAGGACCCTTGCAGGAGAGGCGGTATGGTCTTTTGGAGGAAAGAATGTACTCTGCTTTTTGAATTGTCAGAGTTCTTGTGTTTGTTCTTTCTCATATTTGTGGGATGATGTTTCTTTAGTCTTTGAGGTTGCTGACCTTTGGATTTTTTTTTTTAAATCCTGTTGATGTCTTTAGGGGTTTGATTGTGATATAAAGTGGATTCAGCTGACTGGATTTATTTCTAGAAGGTTTTAAGGGGCCTACACTCAGCTTCCAAGTCCTGACTGTGTACTATAACTCTGGAGGACTTGTATTGGGCCTGAACTTTTTTCTCTGGCTTTTCGAGGTTAGGAATCCACTGCACTGGGGTGCCCAAGGTACTCTCAGGCCTCTGGTCACTACACTACAATGGGTGGTTTAGCGAAAGCCTTTGACAGTGTGGTGGAAATAGGTTTGGTCCTTGGTAGCATGTGCCAGCAGCAGCACGAGCAGCAGCATGGCAGGGTGCAGGCTCATTTGTTGCAGCAGGGTGCTAATGGGTGCCAGGGCCAGGGTGCCTGATTCCATGCAGGTATTCACCACAGTGGCCGAGACAGCACAGCTGTGGGGGTGGCTCTTTGGTGACTATGTGTGCCACCGTGCTGGTGGTGGTGTTAGCAAAAGGGCAGGATGCTGGCAGGCACAGATTTCTTTGCCCTTTCTGTGGGCCATAGGCAGGGGTGGTTACTCAGGGTGGGAACAAGTCCACTGTTCTCTATGCAGAGTTTCATTCTGGCAGCAGTGTTGGTTCAAGGGCAGGGCACTGGTGAAAGCAGGTCTAGCTTGCCCTATGCCTGCCAAGGCTCCAGCTGCAATGGCAGTCATACAGGAGGTGCAGGGCAGACTATACTCCCACAGCAGCAGTGGCGGGGCAGGGTACATGTACACACATTCGTGCACTGGTGGGGCAAGGAAAGCAAAATCTGCCTTGCACAAACATGCAGGCAAAGCAATGTGGGGGTATGTCGTGTTCTTAGGGAAAGCTGAAATGTGAGGAGCAAACAAATGACTTGGTGTGTGGCCATGGGGGCCGCCCCATTGGAGCTCTCTGCAGGTGAAGGCATGGTCCACCAGTGCAATAGCTATCATGCAGGCCTCCAGGGAATCCAAGGCTGCCCTGCAAGCAGGTATGGCCAGTCCTGGCCCCGGGAGAGGCCAGGAGACCAAGGGGTGCTCAGATTGTACTGACCCCATTTGATGAGCAAGACCACCTGCAGAGTTTAGTCTGACAGTTCTCCCAGGGCTAAAGTCTCCTGTGAGAGCAAGTCAAGATTAGGAGTTACCCTTTCCTGGCCATGTTCTGCTACACATGCTCTTGCACCAAAGCCTCTGAGTTCTGCATCAGCTGGCTTGCTGCCCCTACCGCCTGTCTAAGCAGCTCTCTTTGCCAACTTGAGTGTTGTGGCTGAAGATCTCCTCCTGTTAGGATTACAGAGGCCTGTGGCAAGAGTGGATTGCTCCTTGCCTGTTCACCTCACTCGCTCCCCTGGACTCATTAGGGGCCAGGACTGAATCCCAGTGCTCAGTAGTCTCAGGTGGGGGTCCCAGCTTCCTCCCCCTTCAGCCAAGCTTCTGTGTCTTCCCTCTGTCCACTCTTGGTGCATTCCCTCTGAAGATCTGTTAGGAGTGTGCCAGTCATTTCAGTCCCTTGGTGGCAGCTGTTCCACCTGGCCACATTTGGTTGGCCATCTTTCACCTTTCCTTTAATTATGTGCGTGACTCTTTTCACCTTCTATTTCCTCCAGCTTCAATCTACCCATATGCCATTACTAGAGTCATCTTTCTTTCTTTCTTTCTTTCTTTCTTTTTTTTTTTTAATGGAATTTCGCTCTTGTTGCCCAGGCTGGAGTGCAGTGGCACAATCTCGGCTCACTGCAACCTCTGCCTCCCGGATTCAAGTGATTCTCCTGCTTTAGCCTCCCAAGTAGCCGGGATTACAGGCGTGTGCCACCACGTTTGGCTAATATTCTTGTATTTTTAGTAGAGACGGAGTTTGGCCATGTTGGCTACGCTGGTCTCGAATGCCTGACCTCAGGTGATCCACCCACCTCGGCCTCCCAAAGTGCTGGGATTACTTCTATAGTTCATTACTAGAGTCATCTTTCAATAGATAATTCTGACTATATTAAGTCTCCTAATCACAAACTTTCAAAGGTTCTATGTTTTCCCCCAAATTAAGAAAGAAATTCTCACCTGAGAATCAAAAATCCTTTCCAGTATGACCACTACCTACTTTTCTAGCTGCATTTCTAATAATTCTACTTCTCTGCATTGTAAGTTTTAATCAAACTTGCCTCTTCCCTTTTTGTGAACATGCCTCTGCTCTCTAGTCATGCATACATGCACACACACACATTCATACTTGGCATTTACCATTGTGAGTGCCTGGCATAAGATGGAAAAGATTTTTTTTTTTTTTTTTTGCCTTCTTTCCTGGCTTCTGTCTTTTCTTTTTTGTACTTTTGGTCAGTTCTTCTTCTCAGTCCACAGAAGTGCTGGGGAATTGTTTCATTAGCAAACATAGAACCAGGAACTATCTCTTTTACTGGTAATTTTGACTCTGTGTTTTCTGCTAGTCCTACTCCCGAAATAGCTAGTGGCAGTGTTTCTCAGACTCTCTTTGCTTCCAGAAGTAGATTTAAGAGTTACATTATAACCTCTGGGTTTCTTTATTTCAGTAGAGAAGAAATTGAATCTTGTGCTTGGTCTAAGGATGATCCTGACTGTCAACATGCTAGTCCTTAAGAAATTATGAAAGAGACCCAAACATAAGCAATTGGTCAGCGTTCTTGGAACTAAGACCATAGATAGCTCTATGTGATAACCCTCTATGTGAGGGCACATTATTTGAGAAGCCCTTAATATTGATGTTTAAATAATAGTGTATTAAAGATAAAAAGATGAGATATGTAGGAAGACTGGCTCTAAGAGTTGATCAAGACTTTCACAGTTGTGAACTGCTTGAGATATACAATATTCCTCTTATAAAATGTCTTGTTAGTTAAAAGTGATGAATATCTTCTTGTTTAAGGAAAGTGTAATGCAAATTTTGCCTTTGTTTTCGGAATACCCATAAAGAATAGAGCTGATCTGCTTGCCTTAGAGAGGCAAACGTATGTCAAATATTTTTAAAGACACTGATTTATTGTCAGCTGAAAAGGAGTTAGAATAGGTGACCTGTGATTTTTGAGCAAAGACCAGGAGACACAATTGGATATAAGGATGCCCTTATAGTTTTCTACCTTTTCATATTGTCTTTGCAGTCTGTAGGGCCTTTTCTATCATTACAATACTTTCAAAAGGCTGCACAATTTTGCAAGTTTTCTCAAATGCTTTTATTGATATAACGTCATTGTAATTCTCTCCAATCACTGTTTACCTCCTCTACTGTCACTTTTCTTAAGACATTCACCTTACTTTGCCTTGTAAAATTCTGATGTTTTGTGGCTCCTCTCCTCTGCTCTCCTCACACAGACACTGGACTGAAGATTCTTTTTTGAAGTGACTGTATTATTTTTCCTTCTTTTATCACACTGTCTTAACATAGTAGTTGCTTATATTGGAAAGCCATCATTTTTGTCTGTTCAGAATTGAGTCACTCTCTTCAAGTAATAGTATTTCAGATTTGTTTTATGGGGGAACCAATTCTCCCTTATGGGGCTCAGTTCATGGAGTATAAGACAATAGGGTATATAATGTAAAACTGACTGAGTCAGCTTATATAGAGGACAATGAGTATCCCTCCATTCTAGGCTAGGAATTCTGCAATGCTGATTATGTGGTAGCAAAACATCCATTAAATGGTGAGCTGTATCTTGGAACCTAGACAATATGATAATCAGGGCTGGAGTTTTAGGAACTTGGTAGAAAAACTTTCAGAGGCTTCTTCTCTTTGTGAACAAGCAAATCTATATGGATTAGAATCCAATAACATTAATCCTTGGAAAATTGAAAAAAAACCCCTGAAATCCATGTCCCAGCTCTAGTCAGTTCCAGCAAAGGCAGAAAGATGAGAGTGAAAGTCTGGTAATATGCTGGGACATGGAGAAAGCCTTCCAAATATTTCCTGCTATTTTTCCTCTTCCAGTCAAAGAACAATTGCCATCATTGTAGAGTCATAAATTTAAATGCACCATGGTATAATGAAGCAGATTGACTATACCACCATATACTATGTTATATTTGCGTATTGCTCTGAGAATAGTGGAAAGCAGAAAAAACTTAGTCCTTAGACACTGCTGGAATCTAGATTCAAGGAACATGATTCTGCAAGGTCTCTGTCTTTAGTCACTAGCTCATGGAACTCAATGAATCCAAATAGAAAGTAAGCCCACAAATGTTTAGTAAATTGCATTTGCCAAGAAACTCTACTTTTATTTTCCTTTTCAAAATTATCTCCATGTGCTGTACTTCATGTGTTTTGAGTGGGACTGGCTCAGTTCTTGGTTTTCAGCTTGGATGCCCTGATTGACCCAGAACTGGTCAAAGTTCCACATAACCTTGACCACAGAAATTGGTTCACAGATGGACACATGACTCAATGAGGCCAGTGATCTCAGAGTCAAAAGCTTATTTTATTATGTGGTTGGCATAGGAGAAGAATTTAAATGTAGTTTCTGAGTGCCACTCGTAGAAAATTCTGCTTGAAACAAAATCAACAGAGGAAAGTAGATATGAAAGACTGGGAAATGGAAAATATTCAAGAACTGAATACATCATTTGAGCTCATACATGAAAATAACCCCATGCATGAACTTCTATATTATGTGAGGTAATATATATCCTTTTTTGCTTATGCCAGCTTGGGATGAAAAATTAATGGTAGAGTAGATCTAATTTAAGATGGTTATTATCTCCTGATGTAATTTTTTCCAATTCCTACTAAAAGAAGGCACCAAAATTAGTAAACTCAAAATGATACTGAAAGCCAGTGCTGAATGTTATTCTAATGCCAGAATTAGGGAAGAATTTCCACTAGCAGCAAGGCTGATAGAACTGGATTGAAAACACCAACCATGCTGCACTACAGGATAGAAACAAACCTCCTTACCTGAAAGTGAATGGAAATATTCTTCACTATTCCCACAATCTATTCTCTGTTCCCAAAATGCAAGTTCTGAACCAACTTGAAAACTCCAGAAGCCCCTTCTACAGCCTTCTGCCTCTATTTCTCTTTTCTCTTATTCCTCAACTCCATGTCTCTCTGCTGGTGTATTATCTGTGAGTACATGCCCTATAGACAAAATTTATGATGAAAAACTAGGAATTGGTTGTCAAATACAGGGTTCTAAGAAATTGGGTGAAAGAAGCTCATTTCAGGACATGGAAATTTCACTAGATGCATGCCTCCGAAGATTGGATTTGGAATGAGTTGTGTGTTTCTGCCTCACTTACAGCCTTACATCTAAGAAAGTTAAATATGTGCATAGAGAATGGATGCAAGTCAGTCTCCATATTCTATTGACTAACATATTTATGTGTTTTTGGATTTGATTATTTTTGAGGATTGAGCCAATTTCTTTAAAGAGAGCTATCATAGTTTCAGAATAAGTAAAAAAGAAATAATCCAGCATGAAAATATTTATTTTACACATACATGATTATAAGAATAAGGCACTGACATTTGGAAGACTCACAGGAGAAACAGACCTCATAAAATGAAATAACATGGGGATTGTAGAAAGATTTTATAAAATTGTTATAAAATCTATAAAATATAAAACAAGGGTTTGTGTGATATGGTTTGGCTCTGTGTCCCCACCCAAATTTCATCTCAAACTGTAATTCCCACGTGTAGAGAGAGGGACCTGTAATTCCCATATATTGAGGGAGAGAGGGAGGTGACTGGATCATGGGGGCAATTTCCCCATGCTGTTCTCATGATAGTGAGTGAGTTCTCATGACTTCTGATGATTTTATAAGTGTTTGAAAGTGCCTTCTTAGTTTTCTGTCTCCTGCTGGCTTGCAAAGAAGGTGCCTTACTTCCCCTTCAACTTCTGCCATGATTGTAACTTTCTTGAGGCCTCCTCAGCCATGCAGAACTATGAGTCAATTAAACCTCTTTTCTTTATAAATTACCCAGTCTCAGGTAGTATCTTTATAGCAGTATAAAAATTAACACACTGTGGTTCTTTGAAATAGAAAAAAAATACGTTAAATAAAAAGTTAGCAGAGATTAAAAACAACCTCATGGTATAAAAACAATGTGTACTGAAGTTAAGTAGGATTACATATAAACTAAAATTTTAATAGGAATATAATAGTATTATTGGAGCATTAAGTAAGATTTCTGTTTTTGTAAGTTTTGGCTGACCTTTCAATCATTGAAATCAGATTTTTTTTCTAAAACTTTATTTTTATCTTTTAAATGCAGAGTTAGTAAATAGTGGCTCATAAAGGAAAAGAGAGAAGCAGGAATTTGCTAAGCATGGGGAGAGGAAAATGACATCTCTGTGTTGCATATGAACCAATTTCTACTGGCTTGAAGAGTCTTAGCCCAGTCTTAGTGGGTTATACATTCCCCTGAGGGTTAATTAAAGATGTCACAGAGAAATAAATGAAAGTTGATTTCTGCTGTATTGTCTCTGAATTCCTCTTGGGAAAGAAAGGTCATCAATAACAACAATACAAATACCTGAAACAGAAGGACTGACCAGCTACACAATTGAAGATATTGCAATTGAGTTTGTAGATAGAATGGGTAAAAAAAACTCAGTCAATCCCAATCACAAAAATGCTTACCATCAAAAACGCAGGAGAAAACCTTAAAGGTACATTCAAACATTAAGAAGCTAAATCTAAATTAGGAAACCAAAGGAGGTAAACTTATAGTAAAAGTTATGATGGCATTCATTTAAATTAGTCAAGTAGGGTTAAGGTGGGATACTTCTTCTAAATTTATTCTTAAATATATTTGCAAATTTTAAAATATATATTTAAAAATAGAAAATAGATAATCAAAAATAAAATTTTAATAATGATAATCTTTTTAATCATTTCCTTAATTAAAGTAATCAAACCTGGAAAATGAGGAGAGATGGTGACGAGAGGTAGGAAGGGCTGAAAATAGGTTAGTATAGTTTCAAATAATATAAATCATTCATGATTTTGGTAACTAGATAAATATGTTTAAAATGTTTTTTAAAAATAAAGTACCACCAGTAGAATTTATAAAAATTAAAAGCATATTCACTAATGCACTCAATACTTAAAAAGTTAGAAAAACAAAAGAAGTTAAAGCCAACAAGAAAGCATTAAAACAAAAGTATCAAGATATCAAAATGTTACAAAGTAGTCCCTTCTTGTCCGCAATTTTGCTTTCTGTGGTTTCAGTTGCCACAATCTGAAAATATTACATACAACAAGATATTCTGAGAGGGAGAGAGAGAGAGAGAGAGAGAGGGAGAGGGAGAGGGAGTGGGGGAGAGAGAGAGAGGCCACACTCACATAACTTTTGCTATATTGGTCTAATTGTTTTATTATTAATTATTGCTGTTAATCTCTTACGGTGCCTAATTTATAAATTAAACTTTTTCACAGGCATGTATATGTAAAAAAGACATAATATATCCAGTGTTCTGTACTATCTGTGGCATCGGGCATCCACTAGGAGTCTTAAAACATATCCCATAGATAAGGGAAAAGTATTGTATTATGTGAGAAAAGCAAACTTTGAAAAGAAATATATAGTATAGGCTATTAAATCCAAGAATGAAATTTATAAAATGTTAGTAGTAGTTTTCTTTGGTAGTAGAATTAGGAATTATTTTTTCTTTATAATTGTCTTTGTTTTATACCTGGAGCATAAAATTACTTTTATAATCAGAAAATAAGCTTTTTTTTCTCAAGAAAGAGAAGAAATGAATGTGACTGTCATTGTAGACTAATTCTAAACTTATGTGAACAGAGAAAGTAAGAATTGAGGAGATTTGAAGAGTTAAGAGTTTGAAGCAAAAATTTAGAGGTATATAAAAAGATAGACTACATATTTGTGGAGCAAGAAAGATGAGAAGTTTAGCTTAGATTTGCAGTTGAGTTTTTCTCAAAGACTTCTCCCTAGAGCATAACTTAAATGGAGAGAAAGCATGATTGGTTCTAATAAGATAATGAAATTTATAAAGTCTTATCTACTCCTTTTTTTAATGCTATAACACTAGACACATGGGCACACTCATGAGCTCATAAGAGACCTTAAGCAGCAAAGAAAAATACAGAGCCCTACCCACAATATAGTTTCAAATGGTGTTAAAACAAAACAAAATAAATAAAGTAAAATAAAAAATATTTTTTAACTAACTTCATCCTTTTGGGGGGATATCATATATTGAATTATTAGGGGAAAACATTCTGCCTTTGCTTTGCTAAAGCCTTGACAAGTATTTAGTAATCAAAACTACAATAACTTTGTGTTCTTTCCACAACCAAAATTTCTCTTACATGATTCACTTATTAGCATTAAGGTTTAAGTAACTGAACAAATAATAATTAAACTATGACTTACCACAGGTAATGTCAATTAACAATATTTAATATCTTAGATTAGCTTGAGTCATTGGTCAATGGGGAGTAATCTTGGAGAAGCTAAAGTTTTCTCATCATGACTGTGTTTTGGCCTAAAACTTATAAGCCACACAGAGCAAGCAGTACCTCCCCCACCCCTTCCCTTTTCGTGTTGATATGAAGCCACTGAAGTTTATGGATTCCTTCTGAAAAGAATCATCAAAGCCATTCCAAAGATAGAAAAGTGGGGGGCAGTGATTGAGGGCTGACATAAAATAACTACAGCTATTCTCTGTTCCATGGGGCTGCTTCTGACTCTCCTCTCAGGCTGAATGTTTTTAAACTTTCATCCTGCCCATATTGTTTTTGATGGATGTTCAGCCAACATTCATGTCTTCTGCTAAGTATAGGACCCTTGTGCAATTTACTTAATCTTTGTAAAACAATTAGATGAAATTTATTAAATTGTTCATTTAATCCTTCTACAGACTTTTATTTAGTGCTAAGTGCAAGGCACTGCACCAAGAGATGAGGTTATAAAGATAAATAGAACAAATCTCTGCCCTCATGGAGTTTACGGTCCAGTAGCACATGATTTAAAAAATATTTATATTCTACCACCTATTGTTTCATTACCTTGTCTTCAAATATTTTAGAGAAGGTAGGGAGGCAAGTGAGGCACACATTGGAATTTCCCACGGATCTCATCCTCTCTTGTCAGAGTTCTTTACCTGATATCTGGGAATAACGAAAGCCAGGTCTGGCCAAAAGAGAGCTCTGTCCGCCTCCAGGGGTCAGTCTCTCCTTGAGAATCCTTCCGAGAATTGCCTAAAGCCATTTCCAAGGATTGCAGATGTTCAAGTAGGAAGAAGCCTTCAAAAATTTTACTTGCATAGAGAAACCAGTTCTAAGTTTTCTTTCAGATCTGAATTGGATCTCAAGCAAGTACTTTCCTTTGATTGAGGTAGAGGGGCTTTTGAAGGCGTGTGTGATTTCTATGTTTACATGCACTTTCATATGTCTTTGAAACCTAGAAAAAGATATTTGCCTTAGGCCACTAAGGGAGTGAATATCACAAAAGGGATTAGAATGCTGTACTTTAAAACATCAGGTCTTGTATTGGGTTATTAGATCATACTTTTAATTCAAATAACATCACATATGTCCAATTCAAGTCAGAATCATGAAGGCGTATGACTGAAGGGGGAAAAATAATTGTCTTTAATGTAAACTGAATCTATTAGTATGGATTGAGAGATAACTGCAAGCATGTACACTCAATGTGGTAACATTCCAGCCCTACTAAGATACTGCTCAACAGTCACAGGTGTGTGCCTTCTAAGAGGTGCCTACTGATTAGAAACCCCTTCCTTCATTCTACCTTGTTCTGGAAACTCATTTAGCAATTAGCAAAATGAAAGCATTCTCTTTCTGGAATTTTGACTTCAGAAGAGGGAATTTAATTTACAAAACTGCCTGCAACTAATTAAAATGAGTAGTCACTGTTGGTTTGAAATGGATTACCTCTGGGAAAATCACACTTCAGATTGTCAAAAGAGGGTTTATATCCTGATTCTGAAAAAACATCTCTCCATTGTTCAGTAGACTGATGCTCTTTCAAATTAATGGAATCTGAAACCTGAAGCCACACACAGAAGATGATTGATACTGGAAGGTTAGTTTCATACAGAGATGTTTTACTTCAGAATATTTTAAGGCTCTTATTTCTTATTCCATTCTCTCCCCAAGTCTTTTGATTTTGAAAAATTATTTTCATTGTGTAATTGTGTATTAATTAATTAATTAAATTGTGTAATAGTCAATGAAATGAAATTCTGTTTTATATTTAAATTAGTTCCAGATGTAAAATATTTTTTAGCTCACCAAATATTTATGTGTACTGAACATTTTCACGAAGACTCTACACACTTAATCAATTTTGTGTTAGTTTCAACCTGATATTACTGTGTGTGTCATAATCAGAGGATGCACAGCAATAATGCTCCCAGGTTTCAAGCAAATCTCTATATGCCTGAATGCTATAGTATTTTAAAGCAAACAATTTCATTTAATTTGGAATTTCATTTTTATGACATGGAAATATTCTATGGACTCCATTTTCTTTCATTAACTAACTTGAATTAATTTAGTCTAATTATAGTAAAATAGGCCTATTACCATTATCTTCAGAGAGTTGATAACAAGAAGTGTTCACAACATGTCTGTTTATGTAACTAGTACTCAATTTTTTTAAGGAAGTCAATTAACTTCTGAATAAATAGGATTAAGAAATAATAAAAATTAAAGGAATTCTGTGTTCAAATATAAATATCATTAACCTACTGCTCATAAATATAATGGCAATCTAAACAAAAAAAGTTCCCTCAAATTTGAATGGGGATAGATGACATAAAATTAAGTGAATCTCAACAATGCAAGAAAATGAACAAGGGCAGCATGTCATATTTTGGACTTATCACGTCAGTAGATTCAGAAAGAAATTTCTAATTTAATTCTTCTCTTGGGAATACTAGGTTATACTATATGACCAAATTTGTAAACTTTACACAAAATTTTGAATTTCTGAAGAGACTTGAACTCTTGGAACCACAGAAAAGAGATACTACTGTTTAACTTTCTTAAATGATCAGAAATTTAATTTCTAATCACAAATGGTCAGTGCTTTTAAACAAGATTTTATTACATAATGATGTTTTAAAATCTCTAAAAATACTCTGAAGTGAAGGTAAAATGTTAATTTATTTTTAATCTATATATTTATTTGCATATATATATATTTTATTATGCCTTGTTTACAATGGATTGGAGCTGGTTAGGAATTGTATTATAAGAAAGATATAAAGAAACTATAAGTAGTGTTAACATTTTGGAAACATTTACTATGTTTCTTCTATTTAGATTATGCCACAAGGTATATATAGTTTAAAAGAAAAATAAATGTACATCATATAGGAGTATGCCTGAAATAAAATATTATGCTAAGAAATAAAAAGTATTCAGAGAGAATGGATGTTGATAAAATGCATAGCAATATATGTTAGAAGTATAGGAGAAGAAATGTGAAGTATATCAGGAAGATAATTTAAAACTCCAATCCATTTTGAACATACAGAAATGGGCCTACAAATCAAAACTGAAATTTTGTTTTCTGGCTCTGTGTTGCTCCCATGAAAAACATTGATAGTTGACTTGGCTAATTTATGGGTTAACCTGGGTCATTCTTATTAATTTATCAAAAGCTTTAAAGCCCTTACCAGTGCTTCTCTTTAATAATTTCTTAAGTTTGCCCCAGGATTCTTTTCTGAAAACGGTTAGTTTACCTACCCCATTTTTTATGATATAATCCTCAATCTTTCACTCACTTGTGTGTTCCTAAGGTGGTGATCTGTGCCCCACTAAATCACTTCAATTTTCCTTAATGGATAAGGATTAAGAGTTTCCAACTTGAACACACATTTAGATGCTTTTTAATGTATATTCTCTATCGCTTTCTATGCCAAGGGCAATGTGGAGCAAATGACAGCCTTAACAATTAATGTATTTTATGTCTTTGGAAATCACTATTAGGATAATTGGGAAAAGAGTTACAGTTACTTGAGGCATAACCTATTAGAAAAAGCAAAATACCCACATCTGCCCCATAAAAAAATCCCACAGATAATGCTATCAGACTACCAGATAAAGAGAGCGCAGCTAATTCTTCTTGCTAGAAGTTTATCAAAACAAAGTTATACATCTTAGAATATGTCCCTGACTCAGAAGACAGCATGGTCAATAATTTCACTGAGCAACAAAACATATGCTACCATTCCTGGGAAAATATTAGAGTCACTTTACACAAACTATGCTTGATGACAACCATTCTGTTTGCTGTAGCTCAATCCTAAAAATTAACACGTCTAATATAAGATCTTTAACTTCATACTAAGACATGTACCATAATCTTTTAAAATTTTTTTCTGTAACAATCACAAATCAAAATAGAAAGGCCAGCTAATGAAGTGGACTGGCTATGAATGTGGGGTCAAGAGAGATCTGTGTTCAGATTCTGGTTTTACCACTGTACTTATTTTTGTCTTAGTTTGTTCATCTATAAGAAGGGGTTGATAATATCTGTTTTGCATATTAAGCCAAGTTTATCTGAAATAATGTATAAATGTGCCTAACACAATTTCTAGAACTTAAGGAATATTCTTTCATTTCCACAACTCCTTATACAGCAGCTCATCTTTGTATCTAAGAGTAAGGTAAAGTTAAAAAAAAAAAGCAGGTAGACATGCATTTTAATATTTCTAATCCTGATGGACCATTGGCAACCTTGAGAGATGCAGTTACAGTTACAGATAGTAAGAGGTCATTCTAGATCTGATTACTCTTGCATGGATCTACACTTGTCATGGTTAAGAACCATGGGCTCATCTAATCTAGGATAACCTTAGTGGGGTTATATCAGGGAGGCCTACATTGGGAATACAGATAGCTTTTCATAAAGTATTGTGTAAACATTTTCTTTATTGGAGCATCTTGGTTTTAACTTTATATATACATATATATATATATATATATACACACACACACACACACACACACACGTATATACATATATATATATTTCGATAGATAGATCATATTCCAATGGTAGTTTCCCAAAAGTGTTTCATCATCTGCTTTTTCCTCTATACATGGGTTCACAATGGTGTTTGCTAGACACTCAGTTTCTTCTTGGAATGAAAATAGAAAGTTTTAAAGGACTCAGTACAATCTAGAGTCTCAGGGAATTTCAGATTTCACTGAGGTTTATATCAAATAATTAATATGCTGAAGTGTAAAAAGTTTTTGGAACTATCCCTGGCAAGTGGGACTGCTCTGTATTTCAAGAATATCTTGGGTACTGCTACTATCCTGACTTGAAACATAGGGATAGCCCAGAACCTGCAATTGAGCAAAAGTAGGAGTTCTGGACACCTCACTAAAATCTCTTATCTGTAACTGAGAAGGCTTTGACCAAAACACAATTCCTCAATTTTGTTTTTCTAAAATGTATGACAACAAAAATGTAAATGGTAGAAGAGAACACTTAAATGTTTCTAAGACTCAAGTACTACTATTTAGGTAATGAGAAAATAATTTATATTATGCTGTTGTTAGGAATGCATAGGACAATCTCTAGGGTAACCACTACAAGAATATAAACAAATTATTAGAAGCCACTGAAAAATTGGATGCTTTGTTACAGAGCATAGGAAGGCCTGATACACAGATATACAAAAGAAAAGTATGAAATGTGTAGGACAAGAAATTATAAAGAAATTAGAAGACTGACTTGAATAACATCTGTCAATAGGAAATTCTATGTGTGCCACAAAGTTTAAGAAGATGTTGAGAATAAGCTCTTTAGCTTTATAATTATCATAAAGGCAGGATAAAATAAAATTGGGTGGGCTGTGTTGCACAGGAGAAAAAGCAGATATGCTGTGATAAAGTAACTATAACTTAGTTTTATAGTCATAGAAACAAAAGGTTGAAGAGTGCGTTAAAAATCATTTGACCCAAAGTTAAATCTATAAGATGACTATTTGGTCTCTGCTTAAATATCTTTAGTGCCAGGAAGCTCATCATACTTGAGAGATCTCATACCATCATCCAATGTTCTGATGCTCACAAAATACTTTCTTGTTTTGCTTTTCTGAAACATTCTCTCTTTGATTTTATTTATAGTGCACACACCTATTCAGAAGTATAATGTCTTCCATATGACTCAGGATATAACCTTCCAGGTTCTATCATCCTGTCATTTCTCCTTTCAATTCAGTATGCAATATGCCTCCACCAGAACATAACGGAATGTATTATAATGTCCTGCTTACATTTTATCTGGGTAAGTAGGGTTTAATTTGATGGGGGCTAGGATCGGGTCTACATCCATATTGTTTGCTGTATATCCCTAGTACCTGACACAAATATAATACATTGTAAACACTTAGTAAAAAATTTGCTCAGTACAGCAGCTGGAAGCCTTTTTCTAATAGCCAACTAATTGGAAGGTGTATCAGTTTGGGGCCAACCAAGATAGATAAAACATAAGGTAATTATAACAAGAAAGCTTAATATAAAGGATTATTAGCTATTAATATAACAAGCGATTGAAGCAACAAGGAATTGGTTATTATTAATAAAAGGGAACTGAAAAAATACAGAGTAGTAAGAAGCACCTGAGATGGAACATCCAAGAAAGGTCCTCCTGGTTTGCCTCTCAGAGCTGCAGTTCAGACCTGTGAGCACAGTCATGCTCACTGGGTGACAGAGAAGTCTTGCGGTGCCATGCCGGCAGAACTTGCAGGAAATTCTCCCTCTGGGGTGCTGAGGAAAGCTGATCATAAGATGTCTTTACCTTAGGCACTCTGAATAAAAAAACATACAGAATCAGGAGGGAATGCTGGAAGATGCTACTGGGTTTCTGAGTGCTGTTGGCTGATATGCACCTACACCACAGGAGCTAGGCACTGAAGAAGCTGCGAGTGCTGCAGGATCCTGGTGTTGAAGTGACCAAGCATGTTGTAGAAGCCTGCAGAGAGAGAAAGAAAATCAGAACTGGGAAACAAAACCTTTACCTCCTGCAATGACTCTTCAGAGCCCTGTATTGACAAAGCTTCCATGCCAAATGAAAAAGGAAAGCATAATTAAAGGGCCCAGATTCATTCTCACTGTGCAGTCAAAAAGGGCCCAGATTCATTCTCACTGAGCAGAATTTGGGGCTGAGAAAAAATAAACCAATAAGTGACATATCAAGCAAAAGTATTGCTGTCACTGCAGGATGCACTTCACCTGCTAATCAAAAGGTAGTCCTTCAGGTATTCTGAAGCATAGCCAGATATCTACCCAATTCTTTTATACTGTCTTAGTACTCGGTCATTTACATCGATGATCTCTGGTTCTCTTCATAAAGTTACAACATTCTTACTCAAACAATAATTTAGAACATTCAGTGCTCCCAAGTTCTTCACATTTCTTCCCACTTTTTCATTGTGCTTGGAGATTATTCCTAGATCTCTTCTGATAGAGAATCTAACCAATTAGTGGTCACTGAGATTCGTAAGGATTTCCAGAATTTACCCCACAACACATACAGAATGGTATAGAAAGATAGAACAATTCCATACAAGTCAACATGCAGTGCTTCTATGCCAATTAGCAGGATGTGTCTGCCACCCTAATGCATATCTGCCACTCAAGGACAGTGACAAGTAATCATTTACCTGCTCTTGCTAAAACATCCTTTATGCTTTTCTATACTTCTCCTGGAGATCTGGCTTTGCCTTCTGTGAGACAAACTACATGTAATTAATCAAAAGTTGGTCCAGGGATAGAGAATTTTGTCTTTGTTTTCTCTATCTAGTTTCTCCCATCAATATTAATTTGGCATTTGTTTTAATTTTCTTCAATTTTGTGATTGCTTTTGAATAAGATTTTCTCTATTCTACATAGATAAATATCACATTCACAAAAATTCTGTTACAGATCGGGGCTTGACTATGTCCTCTTGCTTTAATTCAAGATATGCATAACTGATGCTTGCCTCTTCCATCACTAAGAATAACATAGAATAGCATATCCAATATGAAATATAAGAACATTTGCCTCTTCTTCTAAATCACCCTTATAAGAATGAGACATTAGATATTTTACATAGTTTAAAATGCTTCAGTATGGTCAGTTTAATATATGTATATGTTTTCACTTACAATCTAGTGACAATTCTTAAAATTCGAAGAATCCCAATCAGAAAGAAACATTTGAAAGCCCTATTAAAAAGTCACATTGCATAGAAGTTAATAGGTGCTTTAATTATTGTCTGTTTCAGTTTAAGTATGGTCTACATCACCTATCTATGTATCATCTATCTATTAGATATCATCTATCTATCTATGTATCATCTATCTATTATCTACTGTCTGTATTACCACAGGAAATGTGAAAAATAGTTTTTCAGTGGTAAAATGAGTAATTCTTATGAAAATTATATTGGCTAACAATATTATATAGGCAATACTTCAACCATATGCATAATAATGTATAGCAAATTATTATATCATTTTACCATTTGAAATAACAGTAAAATTCTTCTTTTTTATTTATATTCATGAAAATCATTTTAAAAATGTTTCAGAAACATGAGGTAGTAGGCAGAATTCTAAAATATCCTCCAAAATTCCAACTCCTTGTATACACACCCCATATATCTCTTCCCCGTATGTAGGAATGAGACCTGTAAATACAATAGAATATCATTCCTGTGATTAGTTTATAAGGCAAAAGTGAATGGATTTTTAAGGTGTAATTAATGTCCATAATAAGTTGACTTCAAGTTAATTAAAAAGGAAATCCTGGGTGGGTCTTACCCAATCCAGCAAGCCCTTTAAAATAGTTTTCAAAGCACCAGAGACATTCTCTCCTTCACCACGAAGAAGCAAATTTCTGTGTTGTGAGAGCATTCTATGACAGGGAACAGCAGGCAGTCTCTGGGACCTCAGTCCTACAACCACAAGAAGTTGAACTCTGTCCAAACAACCAGTGAACCTGTGAGAGGCGCTTGAGCCTCAGATGAGACTGCAGCCTTGTTAATTGATTTCAGCCTTGTGAGACCCTGAGCAGAGGACCTCATTAACTTATTCCAGTACTCCTGACTCAAATGCTGAGGTAATAAATTTGAGTTTTTTTAAGTCCCTAAGTATGTTGTAATTTGTTACACAGCCATAGAATACTAACATAGATCATGTTGCCAAAATTCCCATGTAAATTTCCTCCTTTCTTACATGAGATCATTAGTTTTGTCTTTGCTGAACAAACTGAAAATTATTAAAGTGATGCTCTATAAAAACTCATGTAAAGACTTATGCAGACATAATTTGCTGGCATTTCATTCATTGCTGTACAACTATGTTTTTCAAATTAGGAATGTGTCTGGCACAAAAGTGAAAGCTGGTAGCCACATATGTGTACAGGAGTAGAAAGAAAAATTGGCACAAATTCTAAAAATAAAACATTTGGTCTTTAAAGAACTTTCTCACTGGTAGAAAGAATTGGGCCATGAGCCTCCTTCCTTGCCTTTCAAGGAAGTTAAGTTTCTTAAAAAAAAAAATACTTCTCTGTGGATTTAAAAAGTTAGTGCAAAAGAGATTAAACTTCATAGATGTTCATGTTAAATGCATTTTAAAAATACTTTAAATAATTCCACCCTGTCGCTTTGTATGTTAAAAGCTGCCCAATTATCCTGATAATCAGCAAAATGAAGCACTAAAAACTTTAGTGTTGATGAAAGACAAGTGACCAATTAAAACATTGGACATGGTGGAGAAAAGGCTTATTTTGCATTGTCAGTTCATGAACATGTAAGACAGAATTTATGTTGTTCTGAACATAGGCATAATTTGTAAAATCTTTTATGTCTTTGAGCTAAGACGCAGAGAATGTTTGCTACTCACCAAAAATTTCAAGTTGTATATTTGAGGACATACAATAACTTTTGAAACATACATTTGCACGTGAGAGGTAAAAGTTTATGAATTATATGATGGGGCATTCTTACTAATTTGTTGCTTGCTATCTTTTTAAACAAGTTTTTATGTGTGTACTATTAAATTCTTTCATATTCCTATTTGTCATTCTTTCATTTTCATTTTTTTGTCATTTGTTACCAAAGGTAAGGTAGTTTAATTTTGTTTTGCTATGTTTTTTGTCAACATGCAGAGTTCTGTTGTCCTGAGAACAGCTGCTGTAGAGTGAGACAGTTAAAAAATATTCAACTAATTAAGATTGTTTTAGAAATTGTTTTATTGTTAAAGTCTTTTAATTTATAATTTATATTCTTTGAAACTTAACCAGGCCTCTCAGCCAGTCTCTGAGGATAATAGTTAGTTTCATTCAGGGTAGCCTAACATACTTATTGTCAGGTATATGTTTTGCTAATCAAATTTGCACTTCTCATCTAGAGGACTCTAGGGATAAATTTCTTACCCTCTATTTTACTTAGCTTACAACCCCATGGGTAAGAACAATTTTCATTATCTGAATTTTGCTCATCATTAAACTACAGCAGAAATGGTGAAGGGCAAGAAAGGAAATACTGTTTTGCTTATGCAAACATTATAACAAAGAGTTACATTTAAGAAATCATAGTATGCTGGATATTACACATGGAATGCATGCATTCTAAAAATAATTTATCCTATAGTTTAACATAGAAATCTAGAATGTAATTATTTTCTGTTTATAGCCATTTTTAAACGTAGACATGTCTTCCTAATTTGTGCATTTTCCATTAAACATGCGTTATTTCCTGATTAAAATTTTTAATTAAATCATGTATGATCTAATTAATCTATTGTACTATTCCTGTTTTGAGTGCTAATGTTCAAACTGATGTGGTAATGACATCAAATTATTTTATGAACAATACCAAGGGCATTATAGATAATGTTTTTATAGACAAACTTCATGTCTATTGAATGCTCTCACTAGTCAAAGATAATGCCCATGCAAAGTGGTTCTTGTCAATCATATTCTATAAATGCTTATGAGAATTTAGGGATAAAAATTCTAAACACATAATAATTTTCCCTTCATTTTTACTTATTAAACATGTGTAAACATACTTTGTTTAATGTGTAAGAACAATTAATGTGTAAGAACACAGCAGAATTTATACAATCTTGATTTCTAGTCTAATTACTTAAGCCTTACATAATTTCTTTCATTTTACTTTTACCTTCATTGCTATGCTTTTATAATTTTCCACAGCAGTTTTTCTCTTCCAACTTTTTAATAATTTTCTAATTTTGACATTTCTTTTTCCTTCCTTCCTCTCTTCCTTCTCTTTTCTTTTCTTTTCCTTCCTTTCTTCCTTCCTCTCTTTCTCTTTTCTTTTCTTTTTTCTTTTCCTTTCTTTTCTTTCTTTTTTGAAGGAGTCTCATTCTGTCGCCCAAGCTGGAGTGCAGTAGTGGATCTCCACTCACTGCAACCTCCACCTCCAGGCTTTAAGTGATTTTCTGGCCTCAGCCTCCCAAGTAGCTGGGAGCTGGGATTACAGGCATGCAACCACTAAACCCAGCTAATTTTTTTTTTTTCTCGTAAAGATGAGGTTTCATCATGTTAGCCAGGCTGGTCTCCATCTCCTGACCTCAAGTGATCCACTCTCCTCGGCCTCCCAAATCTCCGTTCTTTTTTCTTTCTTTGCTGCTTTTTAAGTTTATTGAAAGTAATGCACTCTGTGGTCCTCAGCAATTTTTAATGCCTCTGCTTATTTCTAGATGTTCGTTTTGGCTGTTAAATTGCATTATATTGCTCTGGGACAGATAATTTTTCTTTGATGACACTAAATAAGATTCTTTATTTTTTCAGCTGTTCTTTTATAATAATTTTAATAAAGATTGTGAAACAATTTCAGTCCAAGGAGGCAGCTGACCCAATGAGAGAACAATAGTGTGCCAAAAATGCTTTTCTCTGACCTCTCAGATGGGTGCTATCACTGAGAAGAGCTTTCATTTCAGTCAACGTGACCGTGATAAAGTATGAGCGCTGTGGCTGTGAACTCCCTTTGGATAATGCTTCATGACATATGGAAAATGTTTCCTGACTTATGAAAACTAATATGGGGACAGAATTTACTAAAAGGTTCAGGTCACTTGGGTGAAGGAAGCATTAACACAATCCTTAACTACAGTCTTTAAGTCATAAATATCTGACTCATGAAAGAAATATATTTATTTCACCCTTTCTGAGTTTTAAGAACCTGTAGGGAAAATAAAGATATGATCATATTCCTAATAGTGAGTGGGGAAACACTTTAGTGAGTATCTAAATGAAATGTTTTATTTTCTTTAAAATAAGTGCACATACTTAATATGACAATACATTTAATACTCTGTTTTGATAATTTTGGGGTTTTGTACAGTAAATGAAAAACTTTAATTCGGTTACCTTATTAGGTAAAAGTGTAGTATGTTTTCAAATAAATGCCAGTTGAAAAAATGAAATGGCTATTTGATTTGATAAATGTTGTACCTCTAGTGTTGTTTAAAACAAGCTAATTAGCAACTCTAGGTGCCTACAGTATGTCAGAAATTCAAGGCATCTGCCACTAGAGAGTTGTAGTGCCTTATTTACCAACAAAGCGACCATTGTTTGTACAAAATATGTTCCTCCAGTCAGGAAAATTGACATGTTGATAAACAAAACTAAATTTAAATTTATGTTACCAGTTTGCAGATACAAACCTTATCACTAAATTAATTGACCCTCATCACTGTCTGTAACTAACTTTATGCAAACTTCTCCCCAAATCATTGAGAATTAAATCCAAAGTTCCCTCAGAATGACATTCCCCAGTATTGGCTTAGCTACAAAATTGTATTGCTGAGGGCAACTTCAAGGCAGCAACAATGTGGCTAAAGCTCCAAACACTTTTTGGACATCGAGCCTTTTATTTTTTAAAGAAAAACAACTTAATTCTTTTAGTTATTTCTAATTTTATTTTATGTGTTTCCTCAGATACCCACCCTAGCCAGCATTAGCACTGATAGCATTTTGTACACATTAATGAACAATGTTCAAGCTGTTGACCCCTGATCTTCTTGATCAGGCTTTCTTAGATGGTGAACATATTCTGTCTCTACTATGGGTAAAGTTCCCCAGGTACATGCATCAATAAAATCTTTAATAGAAGATCATCTAAGTCATCTAAGAGGCCAAAAGAGAAACATCTCCTAATGAGTACTGGACCCCAGAATGTCCCTAAACTTTATAATTCTTCTCAAATGAAAAGCCCCAGATCACTCTATGCAACAGCTGCTTATAAACAGGACAACCCTTGACACTACTCTGGTAGGATGGCAATCTTGATCCCAGACTGGGGCAAACCAATACAGGGGAATTCAATATCTATCTTCAGCACTGCATTGCCATGCCGGCTTTTAATTGATGATCATTAAAATAAAGGCTCAAAAATTGGTCATATCAATTTTTTATTTCTCCTTCTTGTTTAAAAACTGTTTTACTCATTACACATATACACATATATATGTTTATATGTGTGGTATAAGTGTGTATATTATATAAGTGTGTGTGTATATTATATATTTATACAACATGCACACTAATGTGTATATATATATGTGTATGTGTATATATGTACACCATATATATATTCCACCTTCTATATGCATATGTATATGTGTATGTGTAATACATATGCATATAAAAGGTGGAATATACCTTATATGTATGTAAGTAATCTTTAGTAGAAAATCATCTAAGTCATCATATCTTAGAAGATCATCTAAGTTAGGAGCATATACATATACACACATATATATGTATGTATATATGTATATATGTGTGTATGTCTATATCTACACACATATATATAAGATATATATATTCCACCTCTTCTTCTTCCTTCTTATACTCTCATAAAATATTCTGACTTTAAACTTTCTTTCCTTCTCTCCTGTATTTAGCCAATTTTTAAGTTTTCCTTTTGAAGTCTGTCTTCAGATAAATAAATAGATAAACAGATGGATAGATGATGTAATCTTCTGAATGTTTCTCCCTACATTGCTATTAACTAACCAAAATTAGTCTTATCAGGTAAATTGATTTTAAGCATGTGGTATTACTTTCTCTGATAGTGTGTGATATCAGGGAAAGTGCATAAAACATGGAGTAATAAACTTGGAATTTCATTCCAACATTTCCTTGCTCTGTGACCTTAACTACATTATGTAATCCCTCAGAGATGTATATGTTCAGTATGTGAGTTGGGTAGTAGAATCCCTTCTGTATGCCTAATAGGGCCACTGCAGAGAATAAATTAGAACAGTGCTTCTCACACTGAGGGGAAGTTCAGGAACTTATATATGTATGTATGTATATTTTTATTCCAGTACATTTATAGACTATACTTTTGTAAAATACAATCAATAAAAGTTAGTTACTACAAAACTGAAGTGAAAAATCAAAAAAGAAAACTAGAAGTATATAAAATACGTGTCATATTTTATCATTAGATTTGATTGGCCTAAAATTACTCTGTCAAATAACCTTAACAATTTGTAAGCATTTACTCAGTTTTTCTAATAATTTAATTGGGAACTAAAAGCAAACTGTTATAATTTTTTTTTCTTTTTTAACCATTTTATATTTATTTTATAAGGTTATTTTCTTTTTTTATTTTATTTTATTTTATTTTTTTATTATACTTTAAGTTTTAGGGTACATGTGCACATTGTGCAGGTTAGTTACATATGTATACATGCGCCATGCTGGTGCGCTGCACCCACTAACTCGTCATCTAGCATTAGGTATATCTCCCAATGCTATCCCTCCCCCCTCCCCCGACCCCACCACAGTCCCCAGAGTGTGATATTCCCCTTCCTGTGTCCATGTGATCTCATTGTTCAATTCCCACCTATGAGTGAGAATATGCGGTGTTTGGTTTTTTGTTCTTGCGATAGTTTACTGAGAATGATGATTTCCAGTTTCATCCATGTCCCTACAAAGGACATGAACTCATCATTTTTTATGGCTGCATAGTATTCTATGGTGTATATGTGCCACATTTTCTGAATCCAGTCTATCATTGTTGGACATTTGGGTTGGTTCCAAGTCTTTGCTATTGTGAATAATGCCGCAATAAACATACGTGTGCATGTGTCTTTATAGCAGCATGATTTATAGTCCTTTGGGTATATACCCAGTAAAGGGATGGCTGGGTCAAATGGTATTTCTAGTTCTAGATCCCTGAGGAATCGCCACACTGACTTCCACAATGGTTGAACTAGTTTACAGTCCCACCAACAGTGTAAAAGTGTTCCTATTTCTCCACATCCTCTCCAGCACCTGTTGTTTCCTGACTTTTTAATGTTTGCCATTCTAACTGGTGTGAGATGGTATCTCATAGTGGTTTTGATTTGCATTTCTCTGATGGCCAGTGATGGTGAGCATTTTTTCATGTGTCTTTTGGCTGCATAAATGTCTTCTTTTGAGAAGTGTCTGTTCATGTCCTTCGCCCACTTTTTGATGGGGTTGTTTGATTTTTTCTTGTAAATTTGTTTGAGTTCATTGTAGATTCTGGATATTAGCCCTTTGCCAGATGAGTAGGTTGCAAAAATTTTCTCCCATTCTGTAGGTTGCCTGTTCACTCTGATGGTAGTTTCTTTTGCTGTGCAGAAGCTCTTTAGTTTAATTAGATCCCATTTGTCAATTTTGGCTTTTGTTGCCATTGCTTTTGGTGTTTTGGACATGAAGTCCTTGCCCATGCCTATGTCCTGAATGGTAATGCCTAGGTTTTCTTCTAGGGTTTTTATGGTTTTAGGTCTAACGTTTAAGTCTTTAATCCATCTTGAATTGATTTTTGTATAAGGTGTAAGGAAGGGATCCAGTTTCAGCTTTCTACATATGGCTAGCCAGTTTTCCCAGCACCATTTATTAAATAGGGAATCCTTTCCCCATTGCTTGTTTTTCTCAGGTTTATCCAAGATCAGATAGTTGTAGATATGCGGCGTTACTTCTGAGGGCTCTGTTCTGTTCCATTGATCTATATCTCTGTTTTGGTACCAGTACCATGCTGTTTTGGTTACTGTAGCCTTGTAGTATAGTTTGAAGTCAGGTAGTGTGATGCCTCCAGCTTTGTTCTTTTGGCTTAGGATTGACTTGGCGATGCGGGCTCTTTTTTGGTTCCATATGAACTTTAAAGTAGTTTTTTCCAATTCTGTGAAGAAAGTCATTGGTAGCTTGATGGGGATGGCATTGAATCTGTAAATTACCTTGGGCAGTATGGCCATTTTCACGATATTGATTCTTCCTACCCATGAGCATGGAATGTTCTTCCATTTGTTTGTATCCTCTTTTATTTCCTTGAGCAGTGGTTTGTAGTTCTCCTGGAAGAGGTCCTTCACATCCCTTGTAAGTTGGATTCCTAGGTATTTTATTCTCTTTGAAGCAATTGTGAATGGGATTTCACTCATGATTTGGCTGTCTGTTTGTCTGTTGTTGGTGTATAAGAATGCTTGTGATTTTTGTACATTGATTTTGTATCCTGAGACTTTGCTGAAGTTGCTTATCAGCCTAAGGAGATTTTGGGCTGAGACAATGGGGTTTTCTAGATATACAATCATGTCATCTGCAAACAGGGACAATTTGACTTCCTCTTTTCCTGATTGAATACCCTTTATTTCCTTCTCCTGCCTAATTGCCCTGGCCAGAACTTCCAACACTATGTTGAATAGGAGTGGTGAGAGAGGGCATCCCTGTCTTGTGCCAGTTTTCAAAGGGAATGCTTCTAGTTTTTGCCCATTCAGTATGATATTGGCTGTGGGTTTGTCATAGGTAGCTCTTATTATTTTGAAATACATCCCATCAATACCTAATTTATTGAGAGTTTTTAGCATGAAGGGTTGTTGAATTTTGTCAAAGCTTTTTCTGCATCTATTGAGATAATCATGTGGTTTTTGTCTTTGGCTCTGTTTATATGCTGGATTACATTTATTGATTTGCATATATTAAACCAGCCTTGCATCCCAGGGATGAAGCCCACTTGATCATGGTGGATAAGCTTTTTGATGTGCTGCTGGATTCGGTTTGCCAGTATTTTATTGAGGATTTTTGCATCAGTGTTCATCAAGGATATTGGTCTAAAATTCTCTTTTTTGGTTGTGTCTCTGCCCGGCTTTGGTATCAGAATGATGCTGGCCTCATAAAATGAGTTAGGGAGGATTCCCTCTTTTTCTATTGATTGGAATAGTTTCAGAAGGAATGGTACCAGTTCCTCCTTGTACCTCTGGTAGAATTCGGCTGTGAATCCATCTGGTCCTGGACTCTTTTTGGTTGGTAAACTATTGATTATTGCCACAATTTCAGCTCCTGTTATTGGTCTATTCAGAGATTCAACTTCTTCCTGGTTTAGTCTTGGGAGAGTGTATGTGTCGAGGAATTTATCCATTTCTTCTAGATTTTCTAGTTTATTTGTGTAAAGGTGTTTGTAGTATTCTCTGATGGTAGTTTGTATTTCTGTGGGATTGGTGGTGATATCCCCTTTATCATTTTTTATTGTGTCTATTTGATTCTTCTCTCTTTTTTTCTTTATTAGTCTTGCTAGCGGTCTATCAATTTTGTTGATCCTTTCAAAAAACCAGCTCCTGGATTCATTGATTTTTTGAAGGGTTTTTTGTGTCTCTATTTCCTTCAGTTCTGCTCTGATTTTAGTTATTTCTTGCCTTCGGCTAGCTTTTGAATGTGTTTGCCCTTGCTTTTCTAGTTCTTTTAATTGTGATGTTAGGGTGTCAATTTTGGATCTTTCCTGCTTTCTCTTGTGGGCATTTAGTGCTATAAATTTCCCTCTACACACTGCTTTGAATGTGTCCCAGAGATTCTGGTATGTTGTGTCTTTGTTCTCATTGGTTTCAAAGAACATCTTTATTTCTGCCTTCATTTCGTTATGTACCCAGTAGTCATTCAGGAGCAGGTTGTTCAGTTTCCATGTAGTTGAGCGGCTTTGAGTGAGATTCTTAATCCTGAGTTCTAGTTTGATTGCACTGTGGTCTGAGAGATAGTTTGTTATAATTTCTCTTCTTTTACATTTGCTGAGGAGAGCTTTACTTCCAAGTATGTGGTCAATTTTGGAATAGGTGTGGTGTGGTGCTGAAAAAAATGTATATTCTGTTGATTTGGGGTGGAGAGTTCTGTAGATGTCTATTAGGTCCACTTGGTGCAGAGCTGAGTTCAATTCCTGGGTATCCTTGTTGACTTTCTGTCTCGTTGATCTGTCTAATTTTGACAGTGGGGTGTTAAAGTCTCCCATTATTAATGTGTGGGAGTCTAAGTCTCTTTGTAGGTCACTCAGGACTTGCTTTATGAATCTGGGTGCTCCTGTAGGTTATTTTCTTAAGCAAGTCTGTAGTTGTCTTTTATTTCTAAACAGGATTTCTTTCTTCCAATTTGTTCTTAAATTTATCTGCCATGCAAGTGCTACATAAATAGAATATTAAAAAAACAGCAAAGACAAACATTATCTATGAAATGGAACTCCTAAAAATTCAATATATTTGTATTAGTCCATTCTCATGCTGCGAATAAAGACATACCCTAGACTGGGTAATTTGTAAAGGAAAGAGATTCAATTTACTCACACTTCTACATGGCTGGGGAGGCCTCAGGAAACTTAGAATCATGGCAGAAGGGGAAGCAAACACATCCTTCTTCACTTGGCAGCAGGAGAGAGAATGAGTGTCCAGCAAAGGGGGGAAGCCCCTTATAAAACCATCAGATCTCCTGAGAATTCACTATGATGAGAACTACATGGGAGAAACCACCCCCATGATTCAATTATCTCTACGTGGTCCCTCCCACAACACATGGGGATTAGGAGGACTACAATTCAAGATGAGATTTCTATGGGGACACAGCCAAATCATGCCAATATTCAATATGATAAAAGATCTTACTGTAAAGTAAATTCTTTCCATTATCTTACTGCCCCCAAAATGTCACCTTTTTAACTTTGTCACTACCTTGTATCTTCTACTTCTGGTTTTCTATACAAGACTCCAATACACCTGGCTGTTTTCAATTAGTATGATGATATATGAGAAAATTTAATCCACAAGTTTTATTTTAAGCCTCTGGATCTGAGTATGAATCTGGATTTTAGATAATGCTTACATGCAAAATATTTTTTAGGGGCATGTTAGTGCCTTATTGCAACAATACAATACAAATTGTTACAGAAGTGAAGTGTGGGAAATTTTAATAGTACTGAAAGAAATCTAGGCAAAAGAATAATGCTTCTTTCTTAGGAAATACAACATGATGTGTTAATAATAATAGTCTAAAGGAAATCTATGCCTTCAGTTAATTTTTTTAAAAACAGGTATTTTGAAAAGTATGGCCTGCTTCTATAAACCCAAATGCTACATAGTAAGGTAGGTTAACAGACAAACTGTGTTTGTCTTTTATAAGTCTGTTTTGTGCTTCTTTTCACCTATGTGTATGATGCTTTTGCAGTAAACTCAGATGAAGCACAAAAAAATAGTATTTACTTAGCACTTGAAATAACTCATAGAAATGAAATTACATTTGTTAATACTCTAATAGTTTTAAATGTGAGGAAACTGAGGTACTTAAAAGTCAAGTACAGTGCCTCAAGTCTTCCAGTTTGTCCAGAGCAGGGCAGAATACTGAGCCAAGCTGTCTGTCCGAAGAGATTTTCTTTAATGCTATGCCATATTGTGTTTTATGTAATTAAAATGCTAACTTGGATCTATACAACTTATTTTCTCTAAAGAGTTCAGAGCACATTTCTATTATTCTCATCATCCTTTTTGTTAAGATTTCAAGCAGCTTGAGTTTTCTATTAGGTAAGCAATAAAAACTAAAATTAGGCTTACATTGAAAATGAAAAAATAGGGATAGAGATATGTAAAGTGATTTGTTCAAGGTCACACAGCAAACTAAGAACTAAAATTAAAATATGTTTTATACTTTTCTTGTTATAAACTTTTTCATAAAATACCTCTTACTGGTTCTTTTCTCTTATGAAATCTGAACTATTACACAGAAATGAAGAGATGACTTTTAAAGGAATTGTTATAAAACATCCTAGGAAAGTTAAAATATGTGAAGAATAGTACAGGGAAAGAAACGCTCTTTCACATCATTTGAAAATCTAGGTTAGAGAATGTTTTAAACTTCCAGTTAGGATATCTCCAGGACCACACACAATCTGCCATGCATTACACATAGCAGATTGTTAATCAGTGCTTATAGAAGTAAATACATACATGAATGAGTCTAGTAATAAAAATGATATTTACACAAAATAAAATAAATTATCACATGTAAAAGAACTCTTTCATTCATTTGTTTGTGTACAATACATAGCAGGCAATAAATTAGTTACTCTGACTACAAGGCTCATTTTATTATCTCTGTGAGCTTATAATCATGCCAAGGAAACACAAGTAAAAAGCTAAAAAGCCAGTTTCGCCGAAGGTAAAATAATGTGACTTAGGTGAGCATGGGTGCCCTAGTGGGCATCTATCTACAGGGTCTTGAAGTAAGCCAAGCTTGGTGAATGTTATGAATTCCAGATAGAAGTAAGCACATACATGTCCCAGAAGAAGCAGTTAGTGGCAGCAATTCATTGTGAAGGAAACACAAAGTTCAAGGAAAGAAGAAAATGTAAATTTAGGACTCATGGATACCCACAATTTAATATTTTTCTACTTTAATTAAAAGATTTGAAGAAAATTTTTGAAATGTCAGCGGTAGCTCAGTTTGTGGCAGATGCATTGTGCTGGCATAGGGCACCATCCCTTTCGTTTTCAGGTGGATAGCTCTAGAATCCAAGGGCTGGAAGGCTGAAAAGTTTATTAACTAGATTTCTTTAAAGGTGGAACTTAGGATGCAAATCAGATTTCACCAATTTGAAGTTTGCACTTGTGTGAGATTTTGAAGACAAAAGGACCATCTTCCAGCTGCATCTTCTTGTGCAGCTAATAGCTATGATTTTAAAGATACTGTTTTTTTGTTCTGTTTTGTTCTGTTTTATTTTGCTGGGCATTTGTATTCTAGTCTTTGGGTTCTTTTTTTTTTTTTTCACACCAGGTCTTGCTCTGTCACCCAGCAGCAGGCTGGAATGTGGTGGTGCAATAACTGTTCACTGCAGCCTTGACCTTCTGGACTCAAGTGATCCTCCCACTTGCCCAGAATGATCTCAAACTCCTGAGCTCAAGGGATCCTCCCACCTCGGCCTCCCAAATTGTTGGGATTACAGGTGTTAGCCACCGTGCCCAGTCCCAGCTCAGTGGGTTTAGGAGGCATTTAGAGCAGGAATGTTAGGAACTTCCTGCGACTGGAGAGCAGCTAAGGCCAAGCACTCTTGAACACAACAGCTCGCCTGGCAGCTTCTCTGATTCCCACCTTCCCCATACTGCAGAATGGCAGTGGTGTTCTGGGACCCTGGCAAAATTCCACTCCTCCAGCAATTGTAAGGGTACCCAATTCCCTGTACTAAATCTCTTTCCCATTTAAGTAGCTGTAATTGTTTATTTCTTACAGCAGAATCAGGCATATATTTGGTCATATGGTTTTATGAAAATAAGAAATAAATGAATCTGTTACCATTCTAAAGGAAATTTTGATGTATACATCTTAAATGTTGCTAGACATACTGCATTCTGGGCCAATTAGGTGAGTCAAACTATGGGCTCCAAGGGGGACAGGTTGGGGTCTTATTTACCTCTCGTATCCCTCATTTTATGTGACATCTAACACAGAATAATAGCTTCTCAGGAAATGACTGCTTATTGAATGAAATCAATCAAATGTGATTTCATCAATTTATACTAATTTATTCTTTTTTCTATAGTTTCATTTAAAAGTATCCTGTTAGGTATAAGTTAACTGTGACTGAGATTATCTAGGGGTTTTCATTTTAATATTCAAGTTAACAGATTTTACCTCTAGAACATTTTGGTGATCTGTGTAACAAATTGACTAGTTAATTCTGTCATTTTAAGTTGTGGTATAGACACTAAACAACAATTTCCACCCTACCTAAGGCAGCCATTCCAGCCAAACCCTGAAGGGTACTAAACTTCAATAAGACACTTTTGGGACACTTTCATGTTAATTTACATAGAGTTAAATTTGACTTCCAGGAACACCTAATAATTATTATAAAGTCATTTTATCAGAATGTTGGTGAAAAATGATGGCATTTTTGTCTTCCCTAGTTCTCCTTATTAACAAAATGAAGTAAAACTGCTTAATAGGTTTTAATTTTGTTGTGTTATACATCCAAAATAAAGAGGCTTTAACTCACTGCTAAATAGTCCAGCTGAAGTACAAACAGTTCAAGACAGTCATTCAGAATTATTTTTATTATTTCTTTATTGATTATATCATACATAAAATATAACAACAATGTAATGCATACAACATAGCAAAGATTACATTATAATGAATGCAGTATCATAAATGGATAGCAAGCATGTAATTTTCTGTCAAAACCAGACTTCTCTACATGATCCAAGATATAAATATCAAATTAAGGTCTAAATGATATCTGCAAATTTACTCTCTGAGCTTCAAACTCTTTATACACTTACTCGTAAGCAAAGTAATATAAATAGAAACAAGCCATTGCAGACTTTCCATGAGAAAGGGGCCTAAAAAGATCTCCTCCAGTGTCCACTTTTTCTCTTTATAGCTCTCCCTCTATTTTCCTCAAAAATCCCAACTGATACCTAGGATAGTCTTGACATTTGTTTCCTCTGGGCATGTAACTATAAGCAGCAGCAAAGCCACATCCCCTGGTAGGAGCTTCACATTTGCTCTTCTGATTATGGCAGGCTCAAGAAATCAACTTTATCCTAGTCACAGCCAGTGGGTTGTTTTTATCTGCACCTCCAGAGCATTTTGGCCTACTACAATCTGTCTGATGGGAGGAAAAATATGTTGAAATATGTGGACACTTTTGGTGAAAAAGCACATTTGGCAGTAATATGAAGGGAATTTAGAAAGTAGAAATTACTCATGCTCTCTATTCCTTTGATGTTTCTGACAGATTGAGACAGTGAGAGCAGACATTCCCATAGAGAATGGGTATGTTCTGGGATACTTCTTGAAGACTTGGGAACAATTGTTTGAGTCTTGCTTATTGGTTGGGGAGAATTATTTTATGATTCTGCATTTTTATTGTTCTACCAATTCTGTTACTTATGCTGTCTTTCAACAACATCTCCACCTCATATACCTTATTAATATTAACACATTACAGAATGACCCGAATTAATAAAAAGAAGTTTAAGCAAGGCATTTCCAAGATGATATGATATAGCAATTCTATTGAGTCAACGGAAGATTTTGGTTCATGGAGTGATTTTTTTGTTTGTTTTTAAATTTGTACACGTGTAGGGGGCACAAGTGCAGATTTAACACATGAACATATTGCTTAGCGGTGGTCTGGGGTTTTAGTATAACCATGTCCCAAAGAGTGTATTTTGTGCCTATTAAGTAATTTCTCATCCCTCAACTCCCTCCCACCCTCCCACCTTTTGGAGTGTACCATTCTTTCTGTCCATTTTATTTAGCTCCCATTTTCAAATGAGAACATGTGTTATTTGAATTTCTGTTTCTAAGTTATTTCACTTAAGATAATGGCCTCAGGGGGTGATGTTACAGCCCAGGATCTCTCTCTAAATAGAGAAAAAATGAGATTAACAACCAAATAGTAAAAGTGTGTGTGTGTGTGTATGTGTGTGTGTGTGTGTGTGTATATATATATATATATATATATATATATATATATATATATAGTGAGAAGAAGAACAGTGAGAGTGAACCATAAATTCAGCCTAGAGCCAAAAGATTGGGTTAGCATGTTAGAAGGAAGTCAGTGGTCAAAGACAAGAAGGCTTCCTTTAGTCAAATAAAACACGAAGACATAGAGGTAGAGGCATAGCAGGTAAGGAAACAGATCACAAAGTACCAACAGGCCCTTGCGGAAAGCTACAACTGCATGTCTAATGGCTACTACAGATTGCCAGTAAGATAGTCCTACATCAGTACAGTTAGCTGAAAGGTAAAAAATGCATTTGCTTTGTCTCCACAATATCAAAATGTCTCTTTGTGAGTTTCCTATAAATTACAGTAAATGCCTTTTTAAACTACAGTTTTCCCAGATTGTTTCATATAAGTAAAATTTTAAAGGCTGAAAAAGTCTTGAAATTATGCCATCTTCTTAAAAAATCCCCCGGGTATTTTTTTGGTCCATAAATATTCATAGACACATAATTGTTTGGTCTGCTAGTGAATCATTCATGTTTGGTATAAGATGAAAATTCACATGAATAAACGAAAAATATCCCTTATTATGTCTTTAATATTTAGTGTTTGCTGTATGCTTCAACCATACTTTAACACAAAATTAAGGTTTCTCTAATAAATGGTTCAGATCTTATAGCAGGCCCACCTGTTTGTCAGATATTTTCATTTTATTTTCCTGATTCAGATGAAATGCTGTTTATGAGATTCAATTTCTAAAATAGCCTTTTGGCAAAAGGTTGGGACCATTTTTATATCTTATCTTCTGTCCATTGCAACATGTGTTATTACACTGTATATGCAATTTATATATGCATTTGTTAGGTAGAATCCAGCAAAAGGAGGAAAAAAAGAGAAAGCTTTAAATGGGCGATTTTCAGGTCCATACTTTCCTCAGAAAGCAATATGGGGAGGAATGCCAGCCTCTTGGTGAGATTGCATTATGATCTAGTGACCCTGAAAATAGGGTCAGAAGGAGGTCTCCCTGCTAACTGGAAAACTAATCAATATAATTCAATATAAGGACTGGATGCCCCATATCACATAACTTCTCTCCCTTTCTGTTCCTCTTCACTATCAACCCTGAGACTCTAGCCTCTGCCACTTCATGCTTCTCCCACCATTACCCACACACTCATGGTCCTGCATTTAGGCAAGGGCTAACAGAAAAAACATTGTATTATTGTCGTTTTTGTGTAAAAATAAAGAACTTTCAATGGAATGTCATTTAAATATTCAACTTGTTTGAAGTGAGATGTGTTTGTTTGAAGTAAGATAAAATTTATTTCACTTAAAACAACAACTTGGGAATGTAGCCTTTTGTATCTGGTAAAATAAATGTATTAAATTATATTTTTCCTAATAGATACATTTTATTGATTATACCAAAACCCAGTTATTTCAATTTGTAGGAGGTTAGCCCAGAAACTTCTCTGTGGTCTGGTCTGCATTTGATTCAGTTCAGGTGCAGTGACTGAGGAGGAAAGCAAGACAAAGGGTAAAAGGTCACTGGTGACTAATTTTCTGAAAACTAGCAGCTTGTGTAAGTAATAGAACATTTATTGCCTTTCTATGTTGTCCCAGCAATGAGCTAGAAAATCCATAAGAATTCCCAGCCCTCACCTTTATTAAGGCATAGCCCTGGATTAGTTTAATGTGCAATTTAAAGTCACTGCCTGCCAATACTTTGCTTACTTTTCTTAAGTAGGGCCATTTTCCACCCTTTCCCCCCCAATCAAGTTGTCAAAAAGAAAAAAAAAAAAGAGGTGTGCTTTCCTTAATCATTTAGAATGAGTCTTTTTCCAATCTCAGTGATACATTTATTTTTTACATAGCACAGATCCTGATAAAATTACCAACCCCCAGTGAAGCTCTTTAATTTTCCAGATAAATTTTTTGAGGTGTGAAAAGTAAGGCTTGTTCCCTGGTGCCCATCCAGCTTCCTGCTGAGATGTTCCTGGCCACAATATTTCAGTGCTTATGAGACAATGAGGAATCCAAGGACCATTTTATTAAATATTCTAAAATACAATCACAACACCGAAGTAACTTTTAAGACTCAAAGTGTTTGTCAACTAAGAAAGACTTTCAAGTATTTAGAAAAAAATCAATCTTGATATAGTAACACTATCAGATAAGCAGATAAGGAAGGGAACTAACATTATTTAGTGTTAAGCATTTTGTATATTTTATCAACTAAACATCTTCATAAAATACACTGCAGCATAATCTTTTTAAGAATGAGGAAACTGTAATTCAGAATAGTAAACTAACCAAAGTTACAGAACTAAAAGAGCTGGTGAGTTTTGCCATAATGGAAACATCCTTAATTCTTTTTATACAATTCTACACCGCCTTCCAGAAGCATGTTGTGAGATAAAAAATCCTTTGGGGCTTCTGATACTATGTTTTATATGTTATAAACTGGATCTTTTGAAACCTCTTAAACATGTTTGAAAATGACAACTACGTTTTTTTTTCTCTTTGCATTCTTAAACCAAGGATATGCTCTCCAAATAATTTGTCTAGTAAATACTTTTAAAGAATATTTTAGTCCAGACTCAGTAGAGTTTAATAATACACTCTGGTTAGCAGCTCCATCATGCCTTTCAGGAGGAACCCTGGCGGGTACAGGTTAGTATTGCTCACTTGTGCTTTCTCAGAGGCTGGCAGGAAGGGAAGCAGGTTGAGGCAAAGGCATCTCTCTTCTCTTTAAGGACATGATGTGGATGTTGCAGAGAACACACCCCTTCACATAGCTTAGGCCATAATTTGACCACAAAGCCCCACCCAGCCAGAAGAAAAGCTGAGTAAATGTATATGCAATGTGGAAAGCCATTTTTCCTGCTACACTTCTATTACTCTAGACAATGAGAAGAACAAATCTGAGTCTCTGCCACCAATATATTCTGAAGGAATGAAAAATAAAACTCAGATTTACACAAAAAAGGAAACTTGATTCAATGAATAGATGGCAGTACTTATACATAAAGCCAAATGACTTTCTTTAAATAGGAAATCTCGCTTTTCAAAGCAAGTATATTGAAGTATTTATTTAGCATATATTATCTGAAGAAACAAAACAAAATAAATGATGCTAGACACAAATATTTGCTAATGGACCTCAACTTCCCTCTTGCAATGTAAAGGCAGGGACAGTCCAACATATGGCCAAAGGCTCCAGAGCAAAGTAAAAGCAGTTGGTTCTAACTGGAAAGTGGATTGATGTTTCCTGCTTAACATTGATCTTCATACAAATTTTGCATACTGGAACATAATATATTTATTTTAATATAAAATAATGTTTTCAGTTACTTAAACATCAGATAAAACACACAAAAAATTTCCATTTTGAGGAACAATATATAAATTCGAAAAGGCAAATATAAGGTAATACACATGGCAGAAAGGTAATTATTATGTATTTTGATGACTGACAAATTTCTGATCTTTGAGGCAATCACACAGAAGTAGACTAACAGATTACCAAAGATAAAATTCTAGAATTTCAATACAGTGAAAAGAAATAAAAAACGATAAACTGAGGAAAATATTTGCATGAACTGTGTCAGAAGACTACTGTAGAAAGACCATATTTAAATATATTAGAAAAATACTGTTTCTAATAGATAAATGGGTATATCAAAGAATAGAAAATTCAATGAAATATAAATGGTAAACAAATATATTTTAAAGGCTTATTCTCAATAATAATAAAATACAGGTATGCTTTGTTTTATTGTGCTTTGCTTTATTGCACTTTGCAAATATTTCATTTCTTTCAAATTGAAAGTTTGTGGCAGTCCTGCATCAAGCAGGTCTATTGATGTCATTTTTCATAACAGCTTCATGTGTCTGTGTCACATCTTGATAATTCTCACAATATTTCATACTTTCTCATTATTATTATATCTGTTATGGTGATTTGTGATTAGTGATCTCTGATGTTACTGTTGTAATTGTTTTTGGGTATCAAAACTATGCCCATGTAAGACAGTAAACTTAATTGATAAATATTGTGTTTGTTCTGACTTCTCCACCAGCTGACCATTCTCCAATCTTTCTCCCTCTCCTCCATCCTCCCTATTCCTTTAAATACAATGTATTTAAATTAGGCCAGTTAATAACCCTACAATGGCCTCTAAGTGTTCAAGTGAAAGGAAGAGTCTCGTGTCTCTCACTTAAAATCAAAAGCTAGCAATGATTAAGCTTAGCAAAGAAAGCATTTGGGAAGCTAAGATAGGCTGAAAACTGGCCTCTTGTGCTAAACAGTTAGCCAAGTTGTGAATCCAAAGGAAGCTCTTAAATTAAAAGTGTTACTTGAGTGAACACATGAATGATAAGAAAGTGAAACAGACTTATTAGTGATATGCAGAAAGTTTTAGTGGTCTGGATAGATCAAACCATCCATAACATTCCCTTAAGCCAAAGCAAGGCCCTAACTTTCTTCAAGCCTTCAAGCCTGTGAAGGCTGAGAGGGGTAAGGAAGCAGCAGAAGAAAGTTTGGAAGGTAGCAGAAGTTGGTTCGTGAGGTTTAAGAACAAAGCTGTCTTCATAACATAAAAGTGCAAGGAGAAGCAGCAAAGTTCAGATGGAGAAGCTGCAGCAAGTTATTCAGAAAATTCAGGTAAGATAATTGATGAAAGTGGCTACACTAAACAACAATGTATGTAGATGGAACAATGACTAAACAATTAGTGTAGATGGAACAGCTTTACATTGGAAGAAGATGCCATCCAGGACTTTTATTAAGCCAGTTAATAATCCTACAATGGAGGAAGAAGTCAATGCCTGGCTTCAAAGCTTCAATGGACAAGCTGACTCTCTTGTTAGGGACTAATCCAGCTGGTGGCTTGAAGTTGAAGCTGATATTCACTTACCATTCCAAGAATTCTAGGGATCTTAAGAATTATGTTAAACCTCTGCCTGTGCTCTAAATATGGAACACAGCCTGGATGATAGCGCATCTGTTTATAGCACGGTTTACTGAATGTTTTAAGCCTACTGTTGAGAGCTACTTTACAGAAAAAAAAGATTTCTTTCAAAATGTTACTGTTCACTGACAAAACAACTGGTCACTCAAGAGCTCTGAAAGAGACATATAAGGAGATTAATGTGGTTTTCATGTTCATCAGTACAACATCCATTCTGCAGCCTTTGGATGAAGGAGTAATTTTGATCTTCAAGTCTTATTATTTAAGAGATACATTTTGTAAGGCTATAGCTGTCATAGATAGTTATTCCTCTTGATGGATCTGAGTGAAGTAAATTGAAAGCCTTCTGAAGAGAATACTTCATTCTAGATTTCATTAAGAAAAGTCATGATTTATGGGAAGAGTTCAAATATCAACATTAATAGGAGTTTGAAGAACTTGATTCCAACCTTCACAGATTCCTTTGAGTGGTTCAAGACTTCAGTGGAGGAAGTCACTATAGATGTGGTGAAAATAGGAAGAAACTAGAATTATAAACAGAGCCTGAGGTGTATCTGAATTGCTGCAATATATGGATAAAACATAAATGGATGAAAAGTTGCTTCTTATGTATGAGCAATGAAAGTGATTTTTTGAGATGGAAACTACTCCTGGTGAAGATACTGTGAACACTGTTGAAATGACACAAAGAACTTGGAATATTACATAAACTTAGTTGACAAAGCAGCTGCTGGATTTAAGAGGATTGACTTCAATTTGGAAAGAAGTTATACTGTGGGTAAAATGCGATCAAACAGCATTGCATGCTACAGAGAAATACTTTGTGAAAGGAAGAGTCAGCAGCAAACTTCATTTTTTACTTATTTTAAGAAATTGCGACAGCCACCCTGCAACCATTACCCTGATCAGTCCAGCAGCTATCAACATCAAGGCAAAATCTTGTCAGCAAGAGATTAGGACTCACTGAAGGGCTCAGATGTTCAATAGCATTTTTTAGCAAAAAGAAAATATTTGAATTAAGGTATGTACTTTTTTTAGACTTAACACTATTGCCCACTTAATGGACTGTGTAGTGCAGTGTAAACATAACTTTTATATGCACCATGAAAGCAAAAAAAAAAAAAAGTGTGTGACTTGCTTTATTGTGATATCCACTTTATTACAGTGGTTTGGAACCAACTCCACAATATCTCTGAGGTACATATGTATTTGGAATAAAACTCACCAAAAGCAAAAGATGCTGTTGTAGAAATATTGCCTGAAATAGGAAGTTGTAAACAAAATTTAAAGGTTCAGTAAGAAGAGAATGTAATTTTCAGTTCAACATATTGGGTTGCCTATATTGTTTTTAAACTATCTGTACAAAATTGAAAAATATAACAAATATTTTAAAAGGCAGACCAAGACTGTTATAATTAAACTTGGTAACATATGTAGACAAGTTCCAGAATAAATAAATTTTTAAAAGAATCTGTTTTTATAATAATAAAATCCATTTTAGAAAGTGTTACTTTCCTAATTTTTTAATAAACATTTTTAGAGCATTTTTAAACTCAGAGCAAAATTGAGAGGAAGTTACAGAGATTTCCCATATATTCCCTGACCCCACACATTAGTAGCCTCCCACATTATCAACATCCCTAATCAGAGTGGTACATTTGTTATAATCAATAAACCTATATTGATGCAGCATTATTCAAAGTCCATCATTTACGTTAGAGTTCACTCTTGATATTGTACACTCTATGGGCTTCACATGTGAATAATGATATATATCCACCAATGTAGTATCATACAGAGTAATTTCACTGCCCAAAGAATCCTCTGTGATCTGCCTATTTATGCCTTTCTTTCCACAATCTTTGACAGCCACTGATATTTTTTATTGTTTCCAGAATGTCATGAAGTTGGAATCATACAATATCGTATAAACATAGATTTTACATGCACTGCAAAACGTAGTCTTTTTCAGAATAGCATCTTTGACTTAGATGCATTTCAGTTTTCTCCATGTATTTTCATGACTTGATAGCTCAGTTCTTTTTAGTATTGAATAATATTTTTAAACAAAAAACAAATGATCATCTCAATTGATATGGGTTGGCTGTGTCCCCACCCAAATCTCAACTTGAATTGCAGCTCCCATAATTCCCACATGTTGTGGGAGGGACCTTGTGGGAGATAATTGAATCATGGGGGCAGTTTCCTTCATACTATTCTTGTGGTAATGAATAAGTCTCATGAGATCTGATGGTTTTATAAGGGGTTTTCCTTTTCTTTTTTTTTTCATTGTATAAATGTGTTATAATTTATTTCACCAGTTCCACAATGATGAGCATTTGGATTCTTTCCAATCTTTTGCAATGACAATCAGCTCTGCAGTGAATAATCTTGTACAAATGTGCAAGCATAAAGTGTATCTCTAGGATAAATTCCCAAAAGTGGAATTGCAGGATCAAAAGGTACATGCATTTGTAAACTATTATTCTTTAGTGAGGGTCTTTTTAATTAAAGAATTAACATGAATTGCCTAATGGTGACTCATATTCTCAAAAGAATTTGTGGTCCTCAACTCCTGGAATGCCTTTGCAGCTGTTTTGCAGCATGAAAGGCATGAGGGGACAGGACTCTTGGTTTCCTTATGAGCTCTGCCTGACATTCGTCACAAGCACCCAGTACCAGGGGCCGTGGCAGTAGCTTTCCCCAGAAAAGTTTAGCATTTGGCCCAGGGTCAGAGGCTCCACCATCAAGCCACGGAGGAAAGTACTGTTGGATCACTTCTGGCTCCTTCTTCTATAGTGGAGGTTCTCATGAATCAGTGGGCTAACAATTACCTGGTATGCTTGTCAAAAGTGCAGATTTCAGGCTGAGCATGGTGGTTCATGCCTGTAATCCCAGCACTTTGGGAGGCTGAGACGGGTGGATCACTTGAGGTCAGGAGTTCGAGACCAGCCTGGCCAACATGGTGAAACCCTGTCTCTACTAAAAATACAAAAAATTAGCTGGGTGTGATGGCGGGCACCTGTAATCCCAGGTACTTTTCTTTTCACTTGGCTCTCATTCTCTCTTGCCTGCCACTTTCTAAGACATGACTTTTGCCTTCTGCCATGATTGTAAGGCCTCCCCAGACACGTGGAACTGTGAGTTCTTAAACCTCTTTTTCTTTATAAATTACCCAGTCTTGGGTAGGTCTTTATCAGCAGTGTGAAAATGGACTAATACATCAGTAGATGCAGAAAACATTTTTAAAATCCAATATTCCTTCAAAATAAAAATCCTCAAAACAATCAGGCATTGAAGGAATATACTTCAAAATAATAAGAGCCATCTATTACTAACCCACAGCCAACATCATACTGAATGGGCAAAAACTGAAAGTATTCTTTGTAAGAACCAGAACAAGACAAGGATGCCCACTCTCACCACTCCTATTCACCATAGTACTGGAAGTCCTAGCCAGAGTGATCAGGCAAGATAAAGAAATGAAGGTATTCAAATAGGAAAATAATATAAGTCAAACTATCTTTTTTCACTGACAATATGATTCTATACCTACAAAATCCTAAAGATTCCACCAAAAGCTTCCTAGAAAAATAAACCAATTTAGTAAAGTTTCAGGATACAAAAAATAAATATACAAAAATCAGTAACATTTCTATACACCAATAATGTTTAAGCTGAGAGCCAAATCAAGGCCACAATCCCATCACAACTGCCACAAAAATAATAAAATACCTAGGAATCCACCTAACCAAGGGGGTGAAAGATCTCTACAGAAATTATAAAACATCGCTGAAAGAAATCATAGATTACACAAACAAATGAAAAAATATTCCATGTTCATGCATAGGAAGAATCAATAATGTAAAAATGGCCATATTGCCCAAAGAAATCTATAGATTCAACACTATTCCTATCAAATTGCCAGCATCATTTTTTTCACAGAATTAGAAAAAAATATTATATTAATAAAATTCATGTGAAACCAAACAAGAGCATCAATAATCAAAGCAATCCTAAGCAAAATGTACAAAGCTGAAGGCATCACATAGCCAACTTGAAACTACACTATAAGGTTACAGTAAACAAAATAGTATAGTACTGGTACAGAAACTGACAAATAGACCAATGGGACGGAATAAAGAGCCCAGAAATAATGCCATGCAGTTAAAACCATATGATCTTCAACAAAGTCAACAATAATAAGCAATGAGGAAAGGACTCACTATTTAATAAGTTGTGCTGGGATAAGGAGCTAGCCATATGAAGAAGAATCAAACTGGACCCTTACCTTTCACCATATACAAAAATTAACTCAAATGAATTAAAGATTAAATGTAAGACCTAAAACTACAAAAGTCCTAGAAGAAAACCTAGGAAATACTCTTCTCGACATTGGCCTTAGCAAATAATTTATGGCTAAGTTCTCAAAAGCAATTGCAACAAAAACAAAAATTGACAAACCATACCAAATTAAACTAAAGAGCTTCTGCACAGCAAGATAAACTATCAACAGAATAAACAGACAACCTACAGAATGGGAGAAAATATTTGCAAACTATGCATCTGATGAAGGTGTAATACCCAGAATCTATAAGAAACTTGAACAATTCAACAAGCAGAAAGCAAATAACGTCATTAAAAAGAGAGCAAAGGACATGAACAGACATTTCTCAAAAGAAGACGTACAAGCAGCAAACAAACACAAAAATTCAACATACGAACAGCCAACAAACATGAAAAAAATGCTCAACATTGATAATCATCAGAGAAATGAAAATCAAAACCTCTATGAGATACCATCTCATACCAATCAGAATAGCTATTATTAAAACGTCAAAAAACAACAGATGCTGGCAGGCTGCAGAGAAAAGGGAACACTTATACATTGGTGGTGGGAATATAAACTAGTAAATCCACTCTGGAGAGCAATTGAAGATTTCCCAAAGAAAAACAGAACTACCATTTAACCCAACAATCCCATTACTGGGTATATACCCAAAGGAAGATAAGTAATTCTACCAAAAAGACACATGTACTTATATGTTCATCACAGCACTGTTCACAATAGCAAAGACATGGAATTAACCCAGATGCTCATCAGTCATGGACTGCATAAACAATGTGATACATATACACTATAGAATACTATGCAGCTATAAGAAGGAATGAAATCATGTTCTTTGCACCAATATGGATGCAGCTAGAAGCCATAATCCTAAGTGAATTAACACAGGAATAGAAAACCAAATACTGCATGTTTTCACTTATAAGTGGGAGCTAAACATTTGGGTACACATGGACATAAAGATGGGAACAATAAACACTGAGAACTGCTAGACAGAGAATAGGAAGGGGTGGGGGCAATGGTGGAAAGCCTACCTACTGGGCACGATGCTCAGTACCTGGGTGATAGGATCATTCATAACCCAAACCTAAGTTCCACACAATATGACCATGTAGCAAACCTGCACATGTACCCTCTTAATCTAAAATAAAAGTTGAAATTTAACTAAAACAACTTCAAGCCCCTACAAATAGAACACAACAAAATAATAATATTCTATTCTCTGGATGTACTACAGTTTATCCCTTCATTCATTTACTACAGGACATCTTGGTCATCTCCAAGTTTTGGCATTTATAAATAAAGCTTCTGTAAATATCCATATGCAGGTTTTTGTGTTGACATATGTTTTCAACTCCTTTATGTAAATATCGAGAAGCACATTTGCTGAATTGTGTGGTCAGAGTACATTTAGTTTTATAAGAAAACACCCAGCTTTTTTCCAAAGTGGCTGTAGCATTTTGCATGCCCATCAGCAACGAATGAGAGTTCCTGTTGCTCCACATCTTCACTAGCATTTGGTGTTTTCCTATTGCTTTTCTGTTCTGTTGTTTTTGGTTTTGTTTTGTTTTGTTTTGTTTTGTTTTTTTCCCCACCAATTGACTTATAGGAGTAATCCACTTCAGAAAACTTCTAAAATTTATCTAAGGGTGACTGTAAAAGCTAAGGGACCTGCTTAAATTTCTGTACAGATCTGGGAAAGAAAGTGTCAACATAATGAATTCAACAGAGTGTGGTGAGAAGGAATAAAGGGTTTTTTTTCCATATACTTAAATCTTACTAAGCCCAATTCATTTAGTAAAATAGTTATCCTTCTTGAACACATTTATGTTTATACTAAACATATTTGTACCTATATATATTTCACTTATCTACTAAAATGAGATTGTATTATATGCAGATATTTCCTTTTCACTTTATTTATAATATTTTATGGCCTTTTCAGGCAAATTCACACAGACTTGCTGAATTATTTTAAATGGTTAACTGCATGACTCTATCAGAATTCATGCAAACATTTTCTTATTGATAATTTAAATTGTTGCCAGAATTTTGTCCATATAATGTTGCTATAAGCATTCCTGAATATATATCCCATACATGGAGATATATTTATATAAATGTTTATAGCAATAAAGTGTTATTTTTGTTGCTGTTTTTACTAATTGATATACTTTGAATTCCCAAATTTAGATTGCTTTATCAAAATTTGTGTTGGGTGATTAAAATGGGCTCAGATACAGTGTTTGAGTACGCTTCTTACAGAATTCACTCATATATTATCAAAAGAGCAGACTGAATAGCTTTCATAATTATCAATTATTATTTACTTTCTGTTTTTCCCCCACATGTTCAATTTTAATACTTGTCTACATTTGAAAAGACTTCTGTGATTGTGACTAATATGAATCTTAGAAGGATTGAAAGTACACAAGTACATTGCATATTAGGAATGCATTCAATATGGCCTGGCAGCAAATTTACTCTTCTTAAGTTATTTCTGGGTGAAGTATATAACATGACAACAGATTGCTTTTGTTTCTGACTTGATAGCTGGCTTGTACTGGTATCGGCTAAAGAATTCCCATTGGAATCAGCCCACATCTAGTCATTAGCATTTTTAAAAAGCAGGCAGATTATTTCATTGTAAAATCTGTGTAACTCAAATCTTCAGACTTTTCAAAATGCATCTGATTAGCAAAAGGTTAACATATATTACTCAATGAGTATAACCCATAAATATTTTTATTTATAGCTTACTGTCTCTGTATACAATTTTGATGGATGAAGACAGAAAAATTGTAGGACAAGAGAGTAAGAACCTTTAAGTACCTCTCCAGTGAACTCCAGAACATTATTTTTAAGATGGTTTTCTCCTACTAAAGTCAAATTTAACATGTGCATTGAATTTGTGGACATCCTCTTTGAGAGTCATTTTCCAGTATTTCTAGCACATTTAATGGCATAATTGCTCTCAATTTCATAAACCTGAAACTTGAAAGTCACCTTTGAGAGTTTCATCTTGTGTTTACTTTCTATTCCAAGGGTATCCCCAAGTTCTGTTGATTTTATCTTTGGAACATCTCTTGAATTTATTATTTTACCTCTATTCCTGTTCTCCCCACCTCACCACAATCATTCTTAGCTGCTTCCTGGTTTACCACAATCTCTTCAAACTCTTCTCCACAATGTAGTTGATGTGACCTCTCCAAAATGTAATCTTATGTTACTTCCCTCATTTAAACTTTTAAGTGGCTTCCGTTTGATCTTATAAGAGCTATTTATGACAAACCCACAGCCAATATCACACTGAATGGGCAAAAACTGGAAGCATTCCCTTTGAAAACTGGCACAAGACAGGGATGCCCTCTCTCACCACTCCTATTCAACACAGTGTTGGAAGCTGTGGCCAGGGCAATCAGGCAGGAGAAAGAAATAAAGGGTATTCAATTAGGAAAGAGGAAGTCAAATTGTCCCTGTTTGCAGATGACATGATTGTATATCTAGAAAACCCCATCATCTCAGCTCAAAATCTCCTTAAGCTGATAAGCAACTTCAGCAAAGTCTCAGGATACAAAATCAATGTGCAAAAATCACAAGCATTCTTATACACCAACAACAGACAGAGAGCCAAATCATGAGTGAACTCCCATTCACAATTGCTTCAAAGAGAATAAAATACCTAGGAATCCAACTTACGAGGGATCTGAAGGACTTCTTCAAGGAGAACTATAAACGACTGCTCAATGAAATAAAAGAGGATACAAACAAATGGAAGAACATTCCATGCTCATGGATAGGAAGAATCAACATTGTGAAAATGGCCATACTGCCCAAGAAAATTTATAGATTCAGTGCCATCCCCATCAATCTACCGACGACTTTCTTCACAGAATTGGAAAAAACTACTTTAAAGTTCATATGGAACCAAAAAAGAGCTCGCATTGCCAGGACAATCCTAAGCCAAAAGAACAAAGCTGGAGGCATCACGCTACCTGACTTCAAACTACACTACATTATAAGGCTACAGTAACCAAAACAGCATGGTACTGGTACCAGAACGGAGATATAGACTAATGGAACAGAACAGAGCCCTCAGAAATAATACCACAAATCTACAGCCATCTGATCTTTGACAAACCTGACAAAAACAAGCAATGGGGAAAGGATTCCCTATTTAATAAATGGTGCTGGGAAAACTGGCTAGCCATATGTAGAAAGCTGAAACTGGATCCCTTCCTTACACCTTATACAAAAATTAATTCAAGATGGATTAAAGACTTACATGTTAGAACTAAAACCATAAAAACCCTAGAAGAAAACCTAGGCAATACCGTTCAGGACATAGACATGGGCAAAGACTTCATGACTAAAACACCAAAAGCAATAGCAACAAAAGCCAAAGTTGACAAATGGGATCTAATTAAACTAAAGAGCTTATGTACAGTAAAAGAAACTACCATCAGAGTGAACAGGCAACCTACAGAATGGGAGGAAATTTTTACAATCTACCCATCTGACAAAGGGCTAATATCTAGAATCTACAAAGAACTTAAACAAATTTACAAGCAGAAAACAAACAACCCCATCAAAAAGTGGGCAAAGGATATGAACAGAAACTTCTCAAAAGAAGACATTTATGCAGCCAACAGACATGTGGAAAAATGCTCACCATCACTGGCCATCAGAGAAATGCAGATCAAAACCACAATGAAATATCATCTCACACCAGTTAGAATGGCAATCATTAAAAAGTCAGGAAACAACACATGCTGGAGAGGATGTGGAGAAAGAGGAACACTTTTACACTGTTGGTGGGACTGTAAACTAGTTCAACCATTGTGGAAGACAGTGTGGCGATTCCTCAAAGATTTAAAACTAGAAATACCATTTGACCCAGCCGTCCCATTACTGGGTATATACCCAAAGGATTATAAATCATGCTGCTATAGAGACACATGCACACGTATGTTTATTGTGGCACTATTCACAATAGCAAAGACTTGGAACCAACCCAAATGTCCATCAATGATAGACTGGATTAAGAAAATGTGGCACATATACACCATGGAATACTGTGCAGCCATAAAAAGTGATGAGTTCATGTCCTTTGTAGGGACATGGTTGGAGCTGGAAACCATCATTCTGAACAAACTATCGCAAGAACAGAAAACCAAACACTGCATGTTCTCACTCATAGATGGGAATTGAACAATGAGAACACTTGGACCCAGAGTGGGGAACATCACACACCAGGGTCTGTCATGGGTTGGGGTGGGGGGGAGATCGCATTAGGAGATATACCTAATGTAAATGATGAGTTAACGTGTGCAGCACACCAACATGGCACATGTATACATATGTAACAAACTTGCACGTTGTGCACATGTATGCTAGAACTTAAAGTATAATAACAAAAAAAAAATGAAAAAAAAAAAAAGACTCACTGACCCCCAACCACCCAGTAACAAGCTCTGCAGGCAAGACCAGCCACATAATTTGCAAAGCCCAATGCAAATGGAAATTCAGGACCTTTTTTTCAAAAGTCAGGAAAAAAGTGTCAGTAAAAGTACTAAAATATTAATTTTTTTCCTTTCTTCCAAAAAAAAAAAAAGTCATCCTGAGTGACCTGGCCCATGCCTGTTCCTCCAATAGCATCATATATGAAATAACTTCTGCTCTATATAAACATGGTGGACACGGAATACTGGCCTTCATTCAGCTTCTTGATCATACCAAACTCTTTGGTTTCAGGGCCTTTGCACATGTCATTTCAATCCCTGGAAAGTTGTCCCTTTTTCTACAACTCCCTTAAATTGCTCTTTAGCTGGTAATCCCTGTTCTTCTTTATGCCTTGACTTAGGCATTATTTTCTAAAGAGGGACTTTCCAATCCCCTAAACTAGGCCAGTTTCCTCTATCATACTCTCTTGGTTCACTGTGACCCTTTTCGTCATGGCACTTATCTCAACTTATAATAATATAGTTCTTTGTGTGATTATTTGATTTATAGCTGTCTCCTCAACTGTACTATAAACTCCAGGAGAGGTTTCTGTGTTTTTCTCACCAGCATATCCCAGTGACTTAGTACAATGTCTCTCATATAGTGGGGACTCAGTAATTATTTGTGGAAAAAGATTCAATTGACCCTTGAACAGCATGTGGATTAGGGGTGCTAAACCCCTGTGCAGGAAATCTGCATGTAACTTTTGACTTCCTAAAAACTTAACTACTAACAGCGTACTATTGACTAGAAGCTTACTGACAATGTAAGCTGTCGATTAACATACGTTTTGTATGTTATATATATTATATAATATATTCTTACAATAAAGTTAGAGAAAAGAAAATGTTATTAAGAAAGTCATAAGGAAGAGAAAATAGTACTGTACCATATTTATCGATCCTGTAAATTTATGTTGTTTGCTTACAAGATAAATCATATGTCTGAAATGCTGAGAGATCACTTTTTCTGTGATAGGAAATTTACTGGAGAGATAAACTGCTGAGGGGCAGATTATTAGTGTCACATACATTTTAAGTGGATACTTGCCACACTTGAACTCACCACAATAGCAACAAGAGGTGATCACTAAGTTATTACAGTAGTACATGTACCACAGTTGATTTTATGCGCTTATGATTTCATACTGCATCTTCACATTTGTTTATGTTTCTTTCTACCATGAATGGTGCTGTACATAATCTGTATTTGTGTGCATAAGCTTTGATAAATTTTAACTTTTTATAATAGATTTTTTGTACATTTTATGGTAGTGATAAAATAGACCAGTATGTACATATATTTTATGTTTTTATGACTTACCTATCTTTACCCTATTTTTTTCATATCTCTAGGCTATGCAGTTTGTCTTCCAATTTTTTTAAATTATTGCAAATCTCCAAAAATTTTCCAACATAGTCATTGAAAAAAATTCATGTGTAAGTCGACCTGTCCAGGTCAAACTTGTGTTGTTCAAAGGTCAACTGAAAATCTGTGTTGCCCAGATTTTCTGACTGTCCTAGATCCAGTCTGAGATAATGTGATCTTCTAAGTAGAATACACAGTGCAATAATTTGTGTTTGATTTTGTATTACAAAATACTCCTTTGTTTCAATGAGGAAATAAAGTGAAAGTTGGCATCAGAATAGGATGGAATAAAAACTGATATCAGAAGGATCACCCACAAAAGTAAAACACTTTGTTTACAACTTACTCAACTTTCCAGGGCTGTTTGAGATGATGACTAAAAACAATATATTCTGAGGTTCACCAATATTTCACTAAACTTCCTGACCTTGACATTGGCTGTTACATCTTAGTTGAAGGATCAGGATACCATGTACATATACTATGGAAGCCAGACAGAGAAACTTTTTCTAAATGTTTTTTATTAGCAAATATGTTTATACACCATGGTGACATGGTGAGAAGCTTGGTTTGTTGGAGAAGAGGAATGTGGCTGGGTTGTACTGTGCAAGGCATACAGTTGCTTGGTCAGAGTGCAGAGGCAGGGGATTCTAGCCCACACAGAGCCAGGCAGCCCATGGTAAGGATTTTGAATTTTACCCAAAGGTCCAAAAGACCATTGAAGGTTTTGAAGTAGGAAAGTATGATGAAAAAATTGACATTTAAAAAGATCTTTGGCTGCTGTATGATAATAAGCAAGGATTAATTCAAGGAGACATGTTGGGAGGCTTTTTTAGCAATTAAGGTGAAAGATGATGGTAGCTAGGGCTAGTGTGGCCACAGTGAAAATGGAGAGAATTGGACAAAGTTAATAGGAAGATATCAAGAATAAATCTCAGATTTCTACCTTGAGCCAGTGCGTAGATTAAGCAACTGACACCAGGTGCTGCAATGAAGCCAACTGGGGATGATCAGTATTGTGAAAAAATTAAGAGTAGATTTTGGGACAAGACACCTGTTAGACATCCAAGCAGATGGAAGTGGGAAGCACCGATATAAGTGAGAGGGGAAGAGCAATCTAGGTTGAAGATACAAAGGTGAGTAACACCCATATATGAGCACGATTCAGAGTGGCAGAGCTGCCAAAGAGACTGGGAAGAAATGTCAGTGTATTAGGAGGGAAGGTAAGAAAGTATAGTGTTAGAAGCAGGGGATGGTCATGTTTGGCAAATGTTGCTGAGTAAAAAGTAAAAAAGACAGAAAAAAATTATATTCTTCTTATATCTGGTAAGCTAGAAGTCATGGCTCATTTTCACTCAAATGACAATGTTTGGGAAGGGATGGATTAATTATTCTCAACAGAGTATGTGGAATATTCCAAGCACACACTATAAAGTTATGGTTTTAAAACTGTCAGCCTATGTGAAATATTCAGCCTGCAATCACGTTTTCCTTGACATTTAATTTTTAAAATTTGTTGTCAATAGTTGAAAACCATATTTCACATAAAAATGCTTTTCAAAAAAACCACAAGATGTGGTAACAATGAGTCTGTATTCCTGCATGGCAATAAGCCAGAGCTGAATAGCTCACCTCTTACCCTTTTGGAAGGCTGCCTCTCCTCTCCAACTTACCATGGTCCCAACCACGCCCTGTTGTTTTTCACCCCCCACCTGCTTCATTTTCCCTTCCTGGCCCAAGGACATTTATGTTCGCTGCTGCTGCTTTAAAGATTCATACGCGGCAAGCTCATTAAGGGAGGAAGTATAAGTCCCCCTTTTTATGCTTCAAAATGCGTAACGCAGATTGTTGTGTAGAATATGTGTGCAGTAAAGTTCTGCTAAATTGCATTGACTCAGGTTTATAAAATTGAAGAGCATCAAAGAGGTGTTGTAAACCTAACATAAAGAATTTTTAAGAAAGCATGGAAGATAGACTAACTTTACAATCTAGTCAAGATTTGAGCTAGCCCTTTTAACTCTTACGTAAAGCTTTGTTAATGACATTTGAATAGTACATTTTATTTGTTTATTGTTTTAATTTGCGCTCACAGCTGATATGATTCATTATTTTTAAATAAGTTCAGCTTTTAAATAGTACCTAGTTTGTAAAATTTGTCATTGGTGTATAATACTGGTCAATAATATTTTCAAATAGTTTATCAAATTCTCCTTATTATCCTGATGTGCAACAGGGGTAAATGTAGTTACTTGAGGGAGTGAGATGGATTTTATCCTGGAGGACCAGAAGAACATGTGGCGCCAACATGCATCAGGGTAAAAGAGGGGACTTTTGTGCAGCTCATCTTAGTAATGTAATTGATGGGAAGAAGACAGATTCCCTCTGCCAGCCTCCCACCACATATGTCCTGCATTTGTTCTTGCATTGTGGAAAAAATATGTATATTTATATCTCTTTCTCAAGTTCTTAGAGCACTAAAAGTTAAGCCCCATAATACTAGCTTAGTTCCTAGCACTATTTTCATACAAATTATGTTCTCTTTTAATTTTTACCAATTAGTCCTTGTCATTCTTTTATAAAATATAGTCTTGGATGGCATCAGTAATTCCTACACTCATGTGAATCACATTGCCTTCTTTTTGACACCTAATAGAGATATACCACAACACTGACTAGAGTGAAGAGCTCAGGGCAAATCCAGAAAACTAAGCCTCGATACAGCAGGAAAGATGAGATTCCAGAAGACTTCAAATTGCAGAGCAGCAGAGAAAGAGACAGATGGGCAGTAAAGACAAAAGTGATTATTTCAAATTCCTGTCTGGGTTTGTATGCCCTCAGGCTAGAAAACCATCATCTAAAGTCTCTCCTGCTTTGTATTATTCATGATTAATCTGTTTCTTTCGCATTGGAAAATTCAGATATATTTGTTTCCTTACTAGATCTGTTGTGGATTACAGCCTGTGTAAATGAACTAATTTCCTATTTTCTATATAGACACCTACATTCTCCGATGTGATCTGAGAAGTGTGTGTGTGAGTTGTGTGTGTGTGAGATTTCACCTGAAATACGTGAAGAATAGGTGGAATTTTGACAACCTACTCATGCTTCACTGAAAATTGCTTTGAGTTCACTTTTCTGCACATGTGTGCTATCAATTATTCAGCCCTTACATTGAGAGAGATTTAAGAAATGTACTAAACAGACAACTAAAACATTGCTCCAGAACCACCATCCAACACAAATGTTATGACTTCATCACATATTAGGCTCCTAGAAAGCTGTACTGAATTCTAGACTGAACTAAAAAAGAGCCCAGGAGTATAACAAGAAAATATTATTAATTATATTTATTTTTATGTTCAAACTGATTTATTCCTGCTGATTCAAAGACTCAGACTGAAGATATTTCAAGTACTCTTTCTAAATGCAATGATACCTTTGACCCTCTTTCTTTTAATTAAGCACTCAATTATCCAAAATAATTTGTGGGAATTATTTAGCAACCAAAAAATATGATAAAAGATCTTAGTTATTTTAATGAACAGAGCCAGTAGGTGCCATCCTCCTGGAGCCACTTATTTTTTGAATTTCCCTTTGAGAAATTAAGCAAAAAGAAGACATGATTCAGCAAACAGAACCAGTGCACCCAGTTAAGACATTACACATTAGCCATGAAGAATAATGGTATTAGAAATACTGAAACAGGTAATTGTCAATAAAGAGAAAAATAATTTTCTACTATATTCTACTAATGTATTTCTACAATATTCTACTAATATATTCCTACTATATTACAAAAATATAATCCAGATTGATTGAAAACCATAAATGTGAAAAATTCAAAACTTTAACAAAATTTGTAAGAAAATATGTTGATATATTTATCATATTAAGTTCAAGAAAAATTTCTTGAGACAAAATGCAATCATAAAGAGAGATTGATAAACTTAACTACGTTAAAATTGAAATCTTCCTTTGAAAAAATAAACAAAGTTCAAAGATAAAATACAGAGTGAAAGGTGTTTTTAATCCATATAATCAACAAAGTTTAACTGAAAAATATATAATCTCTACAAACCAAAGAGAAATACCCATATAATTATTTAAAAACGGAAAAAGAATATAAGCAGGTAATTCATGGAAGAAGAATCCTAAGTAGCTAATAAATATATCAATCAACTCATTAATAGATTAAAAAGTGAAATTTAATCAACATGATAGCTACTAGACTCAAAAGTCTGACCATATGAAATATCATTGAAGATGTAGAACAATGTACATTCTCATACTCACCCAGTGGAATAAAAATGGTTACAACAAATTTGTAGAATTGTTTTATAATATCTGGTAAAGCTAAAGATTGCATCTCTTAAGATACAGCAATGCCACACTTAAATATATACACTATAGTTTCACTCTTTTAACTATACACAAGGAAACACACACAAAAATGTTTGTAGTGACCTAACCTAAAATTGGAAGAAACTAAATCAGCTGGAAAACTGATTAATAAATATTGGTATATTTACATGACTAAATGCTTTTCAGTAGTAAAAATGAGTGGATTCTAAGAATCAAATAGATTAATTTCACAAACATAATGTTGAATGATTAAAAAAGTTGTGAATGTTTTAAAAAATACTAAATAGTAGATATTATTTATGGATTTAAACATCCACAGTCAAAATTTCAAAAGCATTCAGGGAGCTTATACAACTTTATTATACTAATTATCTTCAGAGAATAGGGAGAAGAAGGAGTACAAAAGGGAGTTCAAGTTTTCTGTAATATTTTATTTATTAAAAATTTAAAATATTAACAATTTGTAATAGTAACAAGGCATAGGTAAAGAGTGTTAGTACTATATTATCTCTATAACTTTCTTTATGTTTATGTACCACACAATACAAATATTAACAAATGTATTACACATACAAAGTCAATGTTTCTGGAATATGACGTGAGAGTCTGTGACAGTACTCACCATATTTCACTCATACGTATCTTCTTACGATATTATCAAATCCACTAGCTTAGGACTGTTTCTTGTTCAGTCTTTTTCACAATGTCTGTGAACTTATTGCCTCATTAATTGCTATTGAATAACTATCACAATTTTATTATAATATAAATATAAGTAATAAAATTACATATAAAATTAATAATTTAGTGATCAAGATTAAATCATTTACAAAATAGAATTGTTTCTTTACATGCAGCTTTCCCTCTTCCCTCAGCCCCCACATCAAATGTAGGATGTTATTTCATTATGCTGACTTTCTGATTGTATGAGAAGACCTCAGAAAATATGTATTCATTATACACATGTAAATGAGTTATGCAGTGCATTTTATAGTCATGGATGTAAATGAATAAGCATTTAAATTGCATTTTATATTTTATTTATATTATCTTCAGCATGGATATAAAGAAGCCCTGAAATCATTTTATTCTTTATTTCTACATGTAAATAATAGTGAGTTGTGGCTGTGTGCTCTGCTCTGAATGACAGCATTCACCCCAAATGCATGTCAAAACCTACTCACCAGTGTGATGGTGGTAGATGAAGAAGGCTTATGAAACTGACTAGGTCATGAGGCTGGAACCCTCATGAAGGGGATTAGGAATTTTACAAAATAGGCTGAAGGGAGCTCATTTGTCTCATTCACTATGTGAGGGCAAATATGTTTATTGCAGCACTATTTACGATAGCAAAGACGTGGAACCAACCCAAATGCCCATCAATGATAGACTAGGTAAAGAAAATATAGCACCTTGGAATACTATGCAGCCATAAAAAAGAATGAGTTCATTTCCTCTGCAGGGACATGGATGAAGCTGGAAACCAACATCCTCAGCAAACTAACACAGGAACAGAAAACCAAATACTGCATGTTCTTACTCGAAAGTGGGAGTTGAACAATGAGAACACATGGACACAGGGAGGGGAACATCATACACCTGGGACCTGTTGAGGGGTAGGGGGCAAGGGGAGGCAGAGCATTAGAACAAATACCTAATGCATGTGGGGCTTAAAACCTAGATGATGTGTTGATAAGTGCAGCAAACCACCATAGCCCATGTATACCTATGTAACAGACCTGCACGTTCTGCACATGTATCCCCGAATTTAAGTAAAATTAAAAAACGAAACAAAAAACAAGGAACCATCTATAAGTCAGGAAATGGGCCTCGGCAGACACTGACTGCTGATGCTTTGATTTTGAGCTTCCCAGCCTCCAAAACTGTTTGAGACATAAATTTTTGTTGCTAATAAGTCAATCAGTTTATATTTTATTATAGCAGACAGAAAAGACTAAGACACAACAAAAAAATCACTTATAGCAGATACCACTTTCATATTTTACATTTCATGTGCTATTCTTGTGAAAAGCACCTCTACTTATATCTCAATTTTTATTACAACCAGACAAGCATTTTGTTACGTCTTTGGAAGCTAGTTTTAAAAATTTTAATAAGAAGAGATTGGCCTTGATTACCAAGACTTAAAGCACAAACAACATCATTCCAGAAAATAAAAAATTAAAAAAGTTCTTACGTAAATATTTGATGCTCTGCTATACACACATTGAGAATTTAAACTGTCTGATAAAGTCATTCTACAGTTTGAAGTATACTCCCACCCACCACTCTGTGTGGCTCACTGTGAATTTTTGTCATTGGCCTTGATAACTCCAAGATGTTCTAATAAGGCTCAAGCATTTAGATCCAAGCATGGATCACCAACATTGTTGGATAGCCTAAGTGTAGAGTGAGTGAGCAATGTTCTCACAGTTTGTGTCATAATATGACCTTTATAAACATACTTAAATAGAAAAATCAGATTTTAAAAAATAATATTGTCACGAGATTGGAAAGGTGACTTCCAAGTAGTGAACTATTTTCTTCAAGTAGAGTATTAAAATAAATTACAAATATGTGAAATTGTTTCATTTAAAGCTACACATATATAAATAGAAAGAAGAACACCCTCTTCTCAGACAGTGACATAGCTTTTCTGCATCCTTGTGATTCACAGGAGTGGGTTTATAAGTCATTGGCCCATGTTTAGTTTCCGGTAGTGATAGAAAAGCTTTTACTGGACTAATATTCCCACAAATAAAAAGCTCTGGGAAAACTATTTATTAAAATACTCTGAAGGTATCAAAATCAGGCAGAAACTGTTCTATCAGGCAGAAACTGTTCTATCTACCCCTTATAAAAACAAAATCACATTAGATAAGACATAGGATGTCTATGGCTTTTTCTCTGAGAGCACTTCGTAATGCACAAAGAACAAAGCAGATGGAACTTAAAAAGACACAGTTTTTTATTTTTAATTTTTGTTGGTACATAGTAGGTATACATATTTATGAGGTACATGAGATATTTTGATACAGCTATCCAAAGTGTAATAATCACCTCAGTGTAAATAAGGTATCCATCATCTCAAGCATTTATCCTTTGTGTTATAAATAATCCAATTATACAGTTTATTTTTGGATGTAAAATTAAATTATTATTGACTATAGTTGCTTTGTTGTGCAACCAAATACTACTTATTATTCTACTTCTTATTCTTATTCTAATTATTTTTTGTACCAATTAAATATCCCCACATCCCCTCTGACCTGATCACTACCCTTCCCACCTCTAGTAATTATCCTTCTACTCTCTACCTCCATGAGTTCAATTGTTTTAATTTTTAGCTCCCACAAATAACTGAGAATAGCAGCTTGTATTTTTGTTCCTGGCTTATTTCACATAACATAATGATCTCCAGTTTTATCCATGTTGTTGCAAATGACAGGATCTCGTTATTTTTATGGGTGAATAGTGCTCCATGGTGTATATGTACCACATTTTCCTTATCCAATCATCTGTGGATGCACACTTAGGTTGCTTCCAAATCTTGGCTACTGTGAATAGTGCTGCAATAAACATGGGAGTGCAGAAAGCTCTTTTATATGCTGATTTCCTTTCTTTTGAGTATATACCTAGCAGTGGGATTGTGGATTGTATGGTAGTTCTATTTTTAGTTTTTTGAGGAGCTTTCATAATATTCTTCATAGTGGTTGTATTAATTTAATTTCCCACTAAAAAATTGTTGTGTACAAGGGTTTCCTTTTCTCCAGTCCTTGCCAGCATTTGCTATTGCCTGTCTTTTGGATATAAGCCATTTTAACTGGGGGTGATATGATATCTCAGTGTAGTTTTGATTTGCGTTTCTCTGATGATCAATGATGCTGAGCACCTTTTCAAAATTTTTTTCCATTTGTTTGTATTCTTTTAAGATATGTCTATTCAGATCTTTTGCCCATTATATAATCAGACTATTAGATGTTTTCCTATAGAGTTGTTTAAGCTCCTTATAAATTCTGGTTATTAATCCCTTGTCAGATGTGTAGTTTACAAATATTTTCTCTCATTCTGTGAGTTGTCTCTTCACTTTGTTGACTGTATCTTTTGCTGTGCAGAAGCTTTTCAACTTGATGTGATCCTATGTGTCCAGTTTTGCTATGGTTGCCTGTGCTTGTAAGGTATTACTTAAGAAATCTTTGCCCAGACCAATGTCCTGGAGAGTTTCTCCAATGTTTTCTTGTAGTCATTTCATAGTTTGAGGACTAATAGTTTTCTTGTGGAGTCCTTAGGTTTTTCCAGATATAAGATCATATCATCAGCAAACAAGTATAAATTGAATTCTTCCTTTCCATTTTGTATGCCCTTTATAGCTTTCTCTTGTCTGATTGCTCTAGCTATGACTTCCAGTACTATGTTAAATAACAGTAGTGACAGTGGGCATTCTTGTCATGTTCCAGATCTTAGAGAAAAGGTTTTTCAATTTTCCCACATTCTGTATAATACTAGCTGTGGGCCTGTCATATATGGCTTTTATTATGTTGAGGTATGATCCTTCTATACTGTTTTTTTGAGTATCAAAAACATCAAGGGATGTTGAATGTCATCAAATGGTTTCCAGCATCACTTGAAATATGATTATTTTTCAGTAATCATATTCAAAAATAATATTATTTCAAGTGATGCTGAAAAGTTTTATCCTTCATTCTGTTCATATGATGTATCACGTTGATTGATTTGCTTATGTTGAACCATCCTTGCATGTCAGAGAAAAATCCGACTTGGTCAAGATGAATGATCTTTCTAATGTTTTGATGGATTTGGTTTGCTATAATTTTGTTGATAATTATTGCATCAATATTCATTGGAGAGATTGGCCTGAGTTTTGCGTTCTTTGATGTGTCCTTATGTGGTTTTGGTATTAGGGTAATACCAGCCTTATAGGATGAGTTTGGAAGTATTCTCCCTTCTCTATTTTTCTGAATAATGTGAGTAGGATTGGTACTAGTTCTTCTTGAAATATTTGGTAGAATTTGGAAGTGAAGTCATCGAGTCTTGGGCTTTTCTTTACTGGGAATTTTTTTTATTATGGCATTGATCTGATTAGTTGTTATTTTTCTGTATAGGTTTCAGATTTCTTCCTGGTTCAATCTTGGTAGGTCTTATGTATTCAGGAATTTGTCCATTTCTTCTAGATTTTCTAATTGATTGGCATGTAGTTACGCATAGTAGCCGCTAATGATTCTTTAAATTTCTTTTTTTTCTTTTCTTTTCTTTTTTTTTTTTTTGAGATGGAGTTTCTCTCTTGTTGTTCAGGCTGAAGTGCAATGGTGCAATCTCGGCTCACTGCAACTTCCGCTTCTTGGGTTCAAGTGATTCTCCTGCCTCAGCCTCCCGAGTAGCTGCGATCATAGGCACCCACCACCAGGCCTGGCTAATTTTGTGTTTTTAGTAGAGATGGGGTTTCACCATGTTGGTCAGGCTGGTTTCGAATTCCTGACCTCAGGTGATCCACCTGCCTCGGCCTCCCAAGGTGCTGGGATTACAGGCATGAGCCACTGTACCTGGCCTGATCCTTTGAATTTCTGCAGTATCAGTTTTAATGTCTCCTTTTTTATTTCTGATTTTATGTATTTGCATCTTTTCCTTTCTTTCAATTGCATTTGTTCCTGCTCTGATTTCATTTTTTCTTTTCTTCTGCTAATTTGGGGGTTGCTTGGCTCTTGTTTTTCTAGTTGTTTAGGATACATCATTAGATTATTCATTTGAAGTTTTTCCTCTTCTTTGATGTAGGCTCTTATAGCTATAAACTTCTTAGTACTGCTTTTGGTGTATCTGATAGGTTTTGGTATGTCATGTTTCCATTATGACTTGTTTCAAGAAAATTTTCAATTTTTTAAAAATGTTTTCATTAACTCACTGGTCATTTGGGAGCACATTCTTTAATTTCCATGCATTTGTATAGTTTTTGAAATTTCTCTTGTTATTAATTTCCAGTTTTACTTCATTGTGGTTAGAGAAAATGCTTGATATTATTTCATTTTTTGTGTGTTTTATGTCTTGTTTTGTGACCTAACATATGGTCTATCCTTGAGAATGATTCATATGTGTTCTGCAGCTCTTGGATGAAATATTCTGTAAATATCTATGAGGCCCATTTTTGTCTATAGTGCGGATTAAGTCTGATGTTGCTTTGTTGCTTCTCTGTCTAGAAAATCTGTCCAATGCTGAAAGTGGGGTGTTGAAGTCTCCACCTATTATTTTACTGGGGCCTATCTCTGTCTTTAGCTCTAATAATATTATATATTATTAATATTTTATATATATATAAAATTATATATAGGTGCTCCAGTTTTGGGTGCATATATATCTAAAATTGTTATTTCCTCTGGCTGCATTGACCCCTTTTCATTATCATTTGTCTGTTCTGGTAATTTTTGCCTTGAGATCTATTTTGTCTGAAATAATTATAGTGACTCCTGCTCTTTTTTTGGTTTCCATTGGCATGGAATATCTTTTTTCATCTCTTTATTTTTAATCTATATGTGTCTTTATAGGTGAATTGTGTTTACTGTAGGCAACAGATCAATGAGTCTTGTTATTTCATCCATTCAGCCAGTCTATGCCTTTTGATTGGAGAGTTTAGTGGGCTTACATTTGATGTTATTATTGATAAGTAAGAATTTACTCTTGCCAATTTGCTATTTGTCTTCTGTTGTTTTGTGGTCTTCTCTTTCTTGTTTCTTTCCATCCTCTCTTCCTCTAGTGAAGGTGATTTTATCTTGTGATATAATTTAGTTTCTTGATGTTTATTTTTGTGTATCCATTGAATATTTTTTGGTTTGAAGTTACCACGAGGCTTGCAAATACTATTTTATAACCCATTATTTTAACCTGATAATAAGTTAACACTATTTACATAAACAAACAAGCAAAAAGAAAACTAATAAAAACTCTGTGTCTTAACTTTGTTCCCTCACTTTTTAACTTTTTGATGTTTCTATTTATATCTTATTATACTTTCTATGTCAAGCTGTTGTAGTTATTATTTTTAATTGGTTTATTGTTTAGCCTTTTTACTTAGAATAAAAACAGTTTACACAGTCACAGTGTCACAATATTCTGTGTTTTTCTGTGTTCACAATACTATTACCTGCAAGTTTTCTCCCTTCATTTGATTATTTATTGCTGATTAATGTCTTTTTCTTTTTGATTGAAGTACTTCTTTTAGCATTTTTTTGTAAGACAGCTCTGGTATTGATGAAATCTCTCAGCTTTTGTTTGTCTGGGAAAGGCTTTATTTCTCCTTCAAGTTTGAAAGATATTTTCACTAAATAATACTATTACAGGGTAAAAGTTATTTTCTTTCAGCACTTTGAGTATGTCATGCTACTCTCTCCTGGCCTGTAATGTTTGCACTCAGAAGTCTGCTACCAGATGTATTGGAGCTCCTTTGTATCATGAATCATTCTCTTGGTTAAATTTATCTGATAGAATTCTGAATTCTTTCTCTGTGTTATCTTGAATTGCAGGGATGGAGAACAGGTGGCATCAGCAATTTAAGACTGTCTTTCCCACTCTCTTCAGTGCTTCTTTCAATGACGCAAGGTTAAAACCAAATACTGTGATGGCTCACCTGATTTTTGGTTCTTATAAAGGTAGTTTTTCATGTAGATAGTTGTTTAATTGATGTTCCTGTGGGGGGAGCAATTGGTGAAGGCTTCTATTCAGTCATCTTTCTTCACCTTCTCTCAAAATTAAGTTTTATTGGCCACATAAGTGAGAAGAAATGTTTGTAGCTGCAAAATGCAGTTAGAAATTGAGGAAATAATTTTTGAGTAGCAGGGAGTAACAGATGAGAGAGCCCCAAAATGTAAGTATAACTCTGATATGGTTTGAATGTATCCCCAGATCAATGTATTGAAGAGTTATATTGGAAACCAGTGCAACAGTGTTGAGAGGTGACACCTTTGAGGTGACTAGGTCATAAGGGCCTACAAATAGATTAATGCCATTATTTGGGCAGTGGGTTTATTATCATGGCAGTGGGTTTCTGATATAGGAATGAATTTGATCTTCTTCCCACCCTCCAGGGTGTGCTCTTTTCACCTTCTGCTTTCCACTGTAGGATGATGCAGCAAGAAGCCCTTTACCAGTAAGAGGTGCCAGGTCCTTGATCTTGGACTTTGCAGAATATAGAATTGTAAGAAGTAGATCTCTCTTCTTTACAGATATGCAGTCTTGGGACTGGACCTAAATAGTCTTCCTCAAACTCATGGCTGACTCCTAAATCATGCACGCTTGGGCAAGAATCTAAGAAGTCCAGGGGAACTAACCAGATTTTTCAGAACTACACACTCCAGGAAACAGAGTTTGAAGTTGGAATTCTGCCAAGTGAGGGATATGTTAAGCACATTGGACTGTCTGTTGAAAGCTCAGAAGTGCTACCCTAGTCTAGTTTACCCTAGAAATAGACTAAATCCTAGGAATAGGAAATTTCCCCCAGGACTATGTTCAAAACCAAAAGACCCAGATTAGTAAAGCATAAAACCAAGCTATCAACTAGTTCAAGGCTATGTGCCAGTAATTTAACTGCCCATTAAGGCAAAATTCTTTAGAGAAAGAGAACATAATCAAGATTCTCTACAATGTGTCCCACAAAGTCTCATGTATACCACGTCAAAAATTTTGCTAGATATGGGAAGAAACACAAATACCAGTATAGTTCTTTTGAAGCATAGTCAAAAAAGATCAGTTAACAAAAAGAGACCTACAGACATCTTAATTGCTGTAATAGGCATATAAATATTTTAAAATATATTTGATGAATATTCTATAAAATCTAGAGGACAGAATGAGTAAAATTTGTTAAAAGATGGGAAGATGGTCAGGATATGTTTGGAAACTATAATGATAAACCAAATGAAAATTATTAAGCTGAAAAATACAATATGTGAAACAAGAAAATCATTATATGAGATTGACAGCAGATTGAAAGAAAAGAACAGAGGAAATAATCAACCTGAGGACATATTAACAAATATCATGCAAACTAAGCCAAGGAGAGATAAGAGACTATTAAACTCTGACTTATAGAGTAATGTAAAATATTTTTCTAGTATTTTGTGTAATTGGTATACTAGAAGGTGGAAAGAAAAAGAATGAGGCAGAAAATACATTCTCACAAATATTGACCAAAATTTTCACATTTGATGAAAGCACCATTTAAAAGATCCAAGGAGCTAGATAAGCCACTGAAGAATGAATGCAAAGAAAATCATCTACATGTCAGTGAAGATGCTAAAAAGGAAAGATATATAAATAAATCTTCATAGCAGCCAAAATAAAATAACAAATTACATTTAGAAAAACAAAGAGTGCAATTATTGCTGACCTTTCATCAGAAACAATGGAGGTCATAAGATATCAAATGGTATATTTTTTTAACTGGTATTTTTTTTAAATGGTATCTTTTTTTAATTTTATTATTATTATACTTTAAGTTTTAGGGTACATGTGCACAATGTGCAGGTTTGTTACATATGTATACATGTGCCATGTTGGTGTGCTGCTCTCATTAACTTGTCATTTAGCATTAGGTATATCGCCTAATGCTATCCCTCCCCACTCCCCCCACCCCAAAACAGGACCCAGTGTGTGATGTTCCCCTTCCTGTGTCCATGTGTTCTCACTGTTCAATTCCCACCAATGAGTGAGAACATGCGGTGTTTCTTTTTTTGTACTTGCGATAGTTTGCTGAGAATGATGGTTTCCAGTTTCATCCATGTCCCTACAAAGGACATGAACTCATCATTTTTTATGGCTGCACACTATTCCATGGTGTATATGTGCCGCATTTTCTTAATCCAGTCTATCATTGTTGGACATTTGGGTTGGTTCCAAGTCTTTGCTATTGTGAATAGTGCTGCAATAAACATATGTGTGCATGTGTCTTTATAGCCCCATGACTTATAATCCTTTGGGTATATACCCAGTAATGGGATGGCTGGGTCAAATGGTATTTCTAGTTCTAGATCCCTGAGGAGTCACCACACTGATTTCCACAATGGTTGAACTAGTCTACATTCCCACCAACAGTGTAAAAGTTTTCCTATTTCTCCACATCCTCTCCAGCACCTGTTGTTTCCTGACTTTTTAATGATCGCCATTCTAACTGGTGTGAGATGGTATCTCATTGTGGTTTTGATTTGCATTTCTCTGATGGCCAGTGATGATGAGCATTTTTTCATGTGTTTTTTGGCTGCATAAATGTCTTCTTTTGAGAAGTGTCTGTTCATATCCTTCGCGCACTTTCTGATGGGGTTGTTTGTTTTTTTCTTGTAAATCTGTTGGAGTTCATTGTAGATTCTGGATGTTAGCCCTTTGTCAGATGAGTAGATTGCAAAAATTTTCTCCCATTCTGTAGGTTGCCTGTTCACTCTGATGGTAGTTTCTTTTGCTGTGCAGAAACTCTTTAGTTTAATTAGATCCCATTTGTCAATTTTGGCTTTTGTTGCCATTGCTTTTGGTGTTTTAGACATGAAGTCCTCGCCCATGCCTATGTCCTGAATGATATTGCCTAGGTTTTCTTCTAGGGTTTTTATGGTTTTTGGTCTAATGTTTAAGTCTTTAATCCATCTTGACTTAATTTTTGTATAAGGTGTAAGGAAGGGATCCAGTTTCAGCTTTCTACATACGGCTAGCCAGTTTTCCCAGCACCATTTATTAAATAGGGAATCCTTTCCCCATTGCTTGTTTTTGTCAGGTTTGTCAAGGAGCATATAGTTGTAGATATGCGGCATTATTTCTGAGGGCTCTGTTCTGTTCCATTGGTCTATATCTCTGTTTTGGTACCAGTACCATGGTGCTTTGGTTACTGTAGCCTTGTAGTATAGTTTGAAGTCAGGTAGCGTGATGCCTCCAGCTTTGTTCTTTTGGCTTAGGATTGACTTGGTGATGCGGGCTCTTTTTTGGTTCCATATGAACTTTAAAGTAGTTTTTGCCAATTCTGTGAAGAAAGTCGTTGGTAGCTTGATGGGGATGGCATTGAATCTATAAATTACCTTGGGCAGTATGGTCATTTTCACGATATTGATTCTTCCTACCCATGAGCATGGAATGTTCTTCCATTTGTTCGTATCCTCTTTTATTTCCTTGAGCAGTGGTTTGTAGTTCTCCTTGAAGAGGTCCTTCACATCCCTTGTAAGTTGGATTCCTAGGTATTTTATTCTCTTTGAAGCAATTGTGAATGGGAGTACACTCATAATTTGCCTCTCTGTTTGTCTGTTATTGGTGTATAAGGAAGCTTGTGATTTTTGTACATTGATTTTGTATGCTGAGACTTTGCTGAAGTTGCTTATCAGCTTAAGGAGATTTTGGGCTGAGATGATGGGGTTTTCAAGATATACAATCATGTAATCTGCAAACAGGGACAATAATACCAATATTTCTAAACTCTTTAAAAGATATTGGCAGAAACCATCCTCCATTCATTTTATGAAAACAGTGTAAAAACTGGTACCAAAAGCTTACAGTAACATTATAAGAAAAGAAAAGTATATATTGGTATCACTCATATACAGAGATGCAAAAGTTCTAAACAAAATCCTTACAAATCAAATCAGGCAATACATATATATGAGAGCATCATGACCAAGTTGAATTTATTCCAAGAATGCAATGTTCAATATTAAAAAATTAACCAATGCAGTCAAAAACATTAATAGATCACAGAAAAAAAGTTATGTAATAATTTCCATAAGTGCAGAAAAAGCATTTGAAAAAATATCTAAATTCTCATCTATAATAACAGTATTTAACAAAGTAGATATAGAAAGGAACTTCTTCAATGAGAAAAAGGGACATGTCCAAAGAATTTACAGCTAATATTCTACTTAATGCTATAATATTCATTAAAAGGTACCAAAGGATATCCACTCTTACCACTTTTATTTAACATTTTATCAGAGATACTAACCAGTGCTATAGGCAACAAAAAGAAGTAAAAAAGCATAAAAATTGGATGAAGAAGGCTGGGCACAGTGGCTCATGCCTGTAATCCCAAAACTTTGGGAGGCCTAGGCAGGCGGATCACTTGAAGTCAGGAGTTCGAGACTAGCCTGGCCAACATGGTGAAACCCTGTCTCTAATAAAAATACAAAAATTAGCTGGGCGTGGTGGCGAGAGCCTGTAATCCCAGCTACTCGGAAGGCTGAGAAAGGAAAATCACTTTAACCTGGTAGGGGAGGTTGCAGTGAGCCGAGATTGTACCATTGCACTCCAGCCAGGGCGACAGAGTAAGACTCTTTCTCAAAATAATAATAATAATAATAATAATAATAAGAAGAAGAAGAAGAAGAAGAAGAAGGCATACTGCTTACTGTTTGTATTTTCACACATCATGGTTTATTATATAAGAACTCCGTTATCTTTAAAAAAATCTACTAGAACTGATGCATAATTTAGTAAGTTTGCACTATATAAAGTCAATATGTGTACATATTTTTAATTCTAGCAACAAATAATTGTAAAATAAAATTTTAAAAATTTATTGTACACTAGCATTAAAAATATAAATAGGGATATAGTAAACACTAATGTGTAAGACCTGTACACTAGAACAACAAAAATTTGGGGGAAAAAGTAAAAATATCCAAATAAAAATAGAGGGCTATAACATATTAATTAATTGGAATACTCAATATTATTAAGATGTCAATCTTTTCCAAAATTATCTGCAAATTCAAAAATATTTTAATCAAAATAATAGCAAGCGTTTTTTGTTTAAAAATGACAATCCCATTATAAAACTTACATGAAAATGCAAAAGGACATAACTAGCTCCAAAAATTTTGACAAAGAAGAGCAAACTTGTAAAATTATACAGCATAGAAGATTTACTTTAAAGTTACAATAACCCATAAAAATGTCTAGACATAGACCCATACATATATCATCAATTCAGCTTCACTCAAATTAATCTAATAGGAAAATGATAGTAATTTTAACAAATGGTGCTGGAAACTCAGAATATGTTTGTGGGAAGAAAAAAGGGACCATAATGATATTGTTCCATACCCTTCTTAAAAATTATTTTGAGGTAGATCAGAAACCTAAACATAAAAGCTAAACTATAAATCTTCTAGAAAAAAAAACAGGAAAGAATATCTTAACAAAGTATTGAGATACCAAATGTTTTGCAACTTGAGGTGCCAAATATTTCTTAAGACATAAAAATGGTATTTATTAAAAAATTGTTAAATTATATTATATTTTTTGAAATTAAAAAATCTAAACTCTTGTGATCTCATTGTTCAACAGGAAGGGGAATATCACACTCTGGGGACTGTGGTGGGGTGGGGGGAGTGGGGAGGGATAGCACTGGGAGTTATACCTAATGCTAGATGACGAGTTAGTGGGTGCAGCGCACCAGCATGGCATGTGTATACATACGTAACTAACCTGCACAATGTGCACATGTACCCTAAAACTTAAAGTATAATAATAAAAAAAAAAAATCTAAACTCTTCAAAAAACAGAATGAGGGAAATGAAATGGCAAACCACAGATTTGGGGAAAATAGTTTCAATGCTTATATTTAAGAATTACTTCTATGCAGAATTTATAAAGTGCTTTTACAGTTTAATGATTATAAAAATCCAGTTATTATTAATAAAAGACATTAACAGACCTTTCTCTCAAGAGGATATACAAATAGCCAAAAAGCACATGAAAAGACTCTCAACATAAGTAACCATCAAGTAAATGCAAATTAAAATCAATGAGAATGACTAAAATAAAAAATAGTGACAATATCATATGTTCATCAGGATGGAGAGCAACTGGAATTCTCAAACATCATGAAGGAAATATAAAATGATACAACCACTTTGGAAAAAGGTATGACATTTTTAATAGAAATAAGTATACATCTAGGGATGTATTTTTATAAGATGTATACTTATTTTAATAAGAAAGTATTTATTGTAATAAGTAAGATTAAAATAAGATGTATACATATTTTAATAAGAAAATGAAAGGAATAAAAACATAAAAGGAATGAAAAGTTTTGTCCGTTAAAAAAACTTCTGCCAGAATGTTCACAACAGTATTGTTTATAATTTAAACACTGGAAACAGCTGAAATGCCCATCAAAAAGGGAATGAATTAGTAAGTTATGCTCTATCCATATGTTGCAATATATTCACCAATAAAGAGGAATGGAGTGCTGGATCACAAAAGAATATAGTGAATTTCACATATTAAGTGAAAGAAGACAGACACAAAAATTACATTCTTCTAGTCATATGAAGTTCTAAAACAGGCAAAACTAAGCTATGATGATAGAAATCAGAGGAGTAATGTCCAGATGCAGCATGTGAGGATTAACTGGAAAACCCTAGAGGGTATTAACTGGTCTGATGTAAATGTCCCATATCTTAAAAGGAATGGAGATCTTATGAGTGCACACATTTATCAAAACTTGATGAAATAAACACTTAAATTCTGGGCATTTTATTGAATTTGAATTTTACCAGATTTAAAAAATTAAATTAAAAATAAAATAACACTGGCTCAAGCACTCCACTTCACTGCTTTGTGAACCAACCCTGTCTTACTTTTTCAGTTTCAAGCAAATATAAGTACAAAGAGTTTAAAGAGTCTAGAAGTCCAAAGTTCTGAAAATAACAGAAGTTCATAAGAAGTTACTCCATTATATCCAAAACCCGGTGGGGGGTTTTCTGATATAATGTGTTTTATAATGACTTAATTTTTTTCCTAAAAGATCCACTTTTGAGCCTGTAATGTTTGCACCTGAGAAATAATGAAAACAGGGAGAATATCCACTCTTTTCAAATAGGATTTGAATAATTAACTCAAGATAGATTAAAAACTTAAATGTAAGACCTGAAACCATAAAATATCCTAGAAGAAAACCTGGAAAAATCTCTTCTGGACATTGGCCGAGGCAAAGAACTGATGACTAAGACCCCAAAAGCAATTGTGAGAAAAACAAAAATTGACAAATGGGACCTAATTAAATTAAAAAGCTTCTGCACATCAGAAGAAATAGCCATCAGAGTAAACAGACGACCTACAGAAGAGGAAAAAAATATTTGCAAACTGTCCATCTGACAAAGAACTAGTATCCAAAATATACAAGAAACTCAATTCAAACAATTCAAAAAGAAAAAACAAATATTCCTATTAATAAATGGACAAAAAATGGCAGACATTCTCAAAAGGAGGCATACAAGTAGCCAACAAGTATATTAAAAAATGCTAATCATCACTCATAATCAGATAAATGCAAATTAAAACCATAATGAGATACCATCTCACACCAGTCAGAATAGCTATTATTACAAATTCAGGAAACTACATATTGGTGAGGATGTAGAGAAAAGGGAATGCTTACAGGCTGTTGGAGGGGACACAAATTACTAAAGCCCCTGTGGAAAACTGTATGGAGATTTCTCAAAGAACAAAAAAATAGAAGTATAATTCAATCCAGCAATCCCACCACTGAGTATCTGCTCAAAGGAAAAGAAATAATTGTATTAAAAAGATGGAGATTGGCCAAGACTGCTGACTAGAAGCAGCTAGTGTGCATGGCTCTCATGGAGAGGAATGAAAGGGGTGAGTAAATATAACACCTTCAACTGAAACATCCAGGTACTCACATTGGAACTCATCAAAAAGCAACCTGATCTATGAGGAATAAAGAAAAACAGGACATGACAACGGCCCACCCAAGACCAACATGTAGCCACGGGAACCCCCCCTGACCAGAGAAGCAGTGAGTGAATGTGCGACCCCGGGAAACCATGCTTCTCCCGTGGATCTTTGCAACTCTAGGGTCAGGAGATCTCCTTGTAAACCCACTCCACCAGGACCTTCAAAATCTGACAGACATAGCTAAGTTGTGGAGTCTCTGCAGAATAGCCACTCGGGCACACATGGAGAATCTGGAGCCTTGGACACTCAGGCTTTCCGGCAAAAGTAGCTCCAGCTCCAGAAATGTTGGAGGTTAGATGCCCGTACATATCCCCTCAAAAAAGGCTGAATCCAGGGGGGTTAGCAGTGACAGCCTGCCCCACTTCCATGGCACCTCACAGGATATGACCCATTGGCTTGGAATTCTAGCCAGCCACCAGTAGCAACATTGTACCTCCCTGAGAAGGTTTTCCTGGGGAGAGGGGTGGGCCACCATCTTTGCTGCTTAGGTGCGTTAGCCACTCCAGCTTTCAGGCTTTGGAGAGTCCAAGCTGACTGGGGAAGGAAGGGATCACCCAGCACAGCACAGCTTCTCTATCAAAATATGGCCAGGCTGCTGCTTTAGGCAGGTGCCTGATCCCATTCTTCCTCACTGGGTGGAACCTGTCAACTGGGACTTCCAGCCATCCCTGCTAGTGTTCTTCAGCTGACAGAGAGTTGAATTCCCCCAGAGGCCACCATCTTTGCTATTTGGACAACTTAGCTGTTCCAGCCCTCAGACTTTGGAGAGTCTCAGGAAACAAGAGGCAGAAGATCCCCTAGCACAGCACAGCTATTCCAGCAAAACATGTTCAGACTGGTTCTTAAAGTGGTTGCCTGATTCCACTCCTCACTGGGCAGGGCCTCTCAAATGGGGCCTCCAGCTACCCCTGCTGATGTTCTCTGGCCAATAGAGGTTTGTAACCTCCCTGGAACAGAGCTCCCAGAGGGAGGGTCGGGTCACCATCTTTGCTGTTTGGGTGACTTAGCTGTTGGCAGCCTTCAGGCTTTGGAGTATTCAAGGTGACCAAGGGCGGAAGTGGAACCCCAGCACAGCACAGCTGCTCTACCAAAACATGACCAGACTGCTTTTTAAAGCAGGTCCCCTATTCCACTCCTCCTCACAAGGCAGGACTTCCCTACTGGGGTCTCCAGTCTTCTCCTACAGATGGCTTTGGGATGGCAACAGGCCCATACCTCCCTGGGATAAAGCTCCCAGAGGGAGGGGCAGGAAGCTATCTTTGCTTTTTGCAGCCTTCACTGGTGATATCTCTGGGTACTGGAAAATCTGAGGCAACTAGAGACTGGAGCAGGCCCCCAGCATATCACAGCAGCTCTATGGAAAATTGGCTAGACTATTACATGGGGGACCATTCCCATTTCTCTTCACTGGGCATTTTCTCCAGGCCCGGACCTCCATCTACCCTCTGCCAGAGTTATCAAGCCAGTTGCAACTCATCAACTGCCTGGACAGAACCTCTAGGGGCAACTGAAAGCCTCTCTGCCACTGCCTCTGCATTGGAACTGCCATTGCCACCCTCAGACTAATGAAGGAGCAAAGACCTTAAGTGCCTTATCTAATTTCCAACAAGCTGCAGTTGACACAAGGAAAGGAGGCCAGCCTGTCTCCCACAGGTCCCACACACACCCACTGCTCATCACCAGACAGGAAACCCCTGTCTTGGGCCCACAGCACAGACCCTCCATCCTTGGCTGATTACACTGAACAATTGTTGACATGCATCTCTCTGGGGTGGAGCCCCCAGCAGACAAGCAGACAATCCTTGGCCATGACCATTACTAAGGTCCCTTCCTCTGCTGCCTCCAAGTTCGGGAAGGAACATAAACACTGAGATCCCCCCAGAGCAGCAATGGGCAGCCTAGAAGTGCCAATCTATAGCCAATCTATAGCCAGCACTCAAGGGGGAGAGGAGCTCACATTTTCAGAGCATTGAGAGGGAACATGACTGCAATTGTGGGGAAACATAGGGGAGCCACACAATGGAACAAGAGTCTACCAACTGACCAATAAGCCTATGTGCCACTTGCTGGATCACACCCCAAAACTTCAACATCAAAAATACCTCACTAATTTACCCCTGTCTGAAACCAGAGACAAGAAGTCAGCTTCAAATAAAGACCCTGCACAAAGCCTTGGCCCAGTGAAAATATCCATGAAAGAAGTCTATTGAATGTACTCAATCTATACTACAGTTAAAGGAAGACCCACAGGCAGAGATGAGAAAGAATCAACACAAGAACTCAGGTAACTCAAATAGACAGAGTGTCATATGTTCTCTAAACAACTGCACCAGTTCTCCAAAAAGAGGTCTTAACCAGGTTGAACTGACTGGAATGACAGAAATAGAATTCAGAATATAGATAAGAACAAAGATAATCAAGATTCAGTGGGATGGCAAAACCTAATCCCAAGAAAATAAAAATCACAATAAAGCAATACGGGAGCAGAAGGATGAAATAGCCAGTATAAAAAAGAACCTAATAAGTCTGACAGAGCTGAATAACAGAATATAAGAATTTCAAAACACAATCACAAGTGTTAACAGCAGATTAAACCAAGCTGAGGAAGGAATCTCAGAACTTGAAGACTAGTTCTCTGAAATAAAACAGTCAGACAAAAATAAATAAAAAGGAATGAACAAAACCTCTATGAAGTCCAGGATTATGTAGAGTCCAAATCTATGAATTATTGGCATCCATGAAAGGGAGGTAGAGAAATCGAACAACTTGGAAAACGTATTTCAGGATATTATCTATGAAAACTTCCCCAACCTTGCTAGAGAGACCAACAGTCAAATTCAGAAAATATAGAGAACTCCTCCAAGTTTCTACACAAGGAGATCATCTCCAAGACACATAATCATCAGAGTTTCCAAAATCAAAATGAAAAACAATGTTAAAGGCAGCTAGATAGAAAAGGAAGGTCACCTACAAAGGAAACCCCATCAGGCTAACAGCAGACCTCTCAGTTGAAATCCTACAAGCCAGAAGAGATTGTGGGCCAATATTCAACATTCTTAAAGAAAATAATCTTCACCCAAGCTTTTCATATCCAGACATACTAAGCTTCCTAAGTGAAAACAAAAATAAAATCCTTTTCAGATAAGCAAACATTAAGGGAATTCATTACCACTGAATCTGCTTTACAAGAGATCTTGAAAGGAGCACTAAATATAGAAAGGAAAGACTAATAAAAAGGAAAGACTAATAAAAGTCACACTGAGATACACAAAACAGTGTCACTGTAAAGCAACCACACAAACAAGCCAACATAATAACCAGCTAACAGCACAATGATAGGCTCAAATCCACACATATCAATATTAACCTTGAATGTAAATGAGCTAAATGCCCCACTTAAAAGGCACAGAATATCCAGCTGGATAAAAAAGCAACACCCAATGGCATGCTGTCTTCAAGAGACTCATCTCATGTGTGATGACACTCGTAGACTCAAAATAAAGCAGAGGAGGAAAATCTACCAAGCAAATGGAAAACAGAAAGAAAGCAGGGATTGCAATCCTAATTTCAGACAAAACAGATTTCAAAGCAACAGGATCAAAAAAGACAAAGAAGGACATTACATAATTGTAATGGGTTTAATTCAATAAGAAGACCTAACTGTCTTAAATATATATGCACCCAACACAGGAGCACCCAGATTTATAAAGCAAGTTCTTAGAGACCTACAAAAGGATATAGACTCTCACATAATAATAGTGGGAGACTTAAACACTTCACTGACAATATTAGACAGATCATCAAGGCAGAAAATGAACAAAGATATTCAGGACCTAAATTCAACATTGGACCAAATGGATTTGATACACCTTTACAGAACTTTCCATCCCAAAACAACAGAATATACATTTTTCTCATCTCCGCATGGCACATACTCTAAAATCAACAACATAATTAGACATAAAACAATCCTCAACAAATGTAAAAGAACCAAAATTATACCAAACACACTCTGTAACCGCAGCACAGTAAAAATCCAGAAAATAAGTATATTGAATATACTCAGTCTACACTGCAGTTAAACAAACACCCACAGCCAGAGATGAGAAAGAATCAATGCAAGGACTTGGGTAACTCAAATGGCCAGAGTGTCATATATCCTGTAAATAACTGCACCAGTTCTCCAAAAAGAGGTCTTAACCAGTGTTAAGCCTATGAAAATCACTCAAAATCATGCAATTACATAGAAATTAAACAACATACTCCTGAATTTGGGGGAAAAATAATGAAATTAAGACAGAAATCAATAAGTTCTTTAAAAATAATGAGAACAAAGATAGAGCCTACCAGAATATCTGGGACACAGCTAAGGTGATGTTAAGAGGGCAATTCATAATACTAAATACCCATATAGAAAAGTTAGAAAGATCTCAAATTAACAATCTAACTTCACAACTAAAAGAATTAGAGAAGCAAGGACAAATCAATCCCAAAACTAGCAGAAGACAAGAAATAACACAAATCAGAGCTGAATGGAAGGAAACTGAGACAGGAGAAACCATTCAAAAGATCAACAAACCTAAGAGTTTGGTTTTTTGAAAAAATCAATCAAACACATAGAAAACCAGCTAGATTAATTAATAAGAAAAGAGAGAAGATCCAAATAAAACAATGAGAAATGACAAAGGGGATGTTACCACTGACCCCTCAGAAATAAAAATAACCATCACAAACTACTATAAAAACTTCTAGGCACACAAACTATAAAATGTAGAAGAAATTGATAAATTTCTAGACACATAACCCCTCCCAAGATTGAGCCAAGAAGAAATTGAATCTCTTAACAGACTAATAATGAGTCCCCAAATTAAATCAGGAATAAATAGCCTACCAATAACAACAACAACCAAAAAAAAGCCCAGGACCAGAGAAATTCACAGCCAAATTCTACCAGAGGTACAGAGAAGAGCTGGTACCATTTCTACAGAAACTATTTCATAAAATTCAGGAAGAGGGACTCTTCCGTAACTCATTCTATGAGGCCAGCATTGTCTTGATACCAAAACCTGGCAGAGACACACACAAAAGAAAACTTCAGACCAATATCTTTGATTAACATCAATGCAAAAATCCTCAACAAAATACTTGCAAACCAAATCCAGCAATACATCAAAAAGCTAATCCACCTTGATCAAGTAGGCTTCATTGCTGGGATGCAAGGTTTGTTCAACATAAGCAAATCAATAAATGTGATTCATCACATAAACAGAACTAAAGACAAAAACCATGTGATTATCTCTATAGATGCAGAAAAGGCTTTCAATAAAATTCAACACTGCTTTATGTTAAAAACTCTCAATAAACTAGATATTGAAGGAATATACCTCAAAATAATAAGAGCCACACATGACAAACCCACAGCAAACATTATACTGAATGGGCAAAAGCTGGAAGCATTTCCCTTGAAAACCAGCACAAGACAAGAATGCCCTCTCTCACCACTTCTATTCAACATAGTATTTGGAAGTCCTAGCCACAGGAATCAGACAAGACAAATAAAGAGCATCCAAATAGAAGGAGAGGAAGTCAAACTATTTTTGTTTGCAGGCAACATGATTCTATAATTAGAAAACCCCATAGCCTCAGCCCCAAAGCTCATCCAGCTGATAAACAACTTCAGGAAAGTTGCAGGATACAAAATCAATGTGCAAAAAATCACTAGCATTCTTATACATCAACAACAGCCAAACTGAGAGCCAAATCAGAAAGGTAATCCCATTCACAATTGTCACACAAAGAATAAAATACCTAGAAATACAGCTAACCAGAGAGGTCAAATATATCTACAATGAGAATTACAAAACACTCCTCAGAGAAATAAGTGAAGAGAGAAAGAAGTAGAGAAACATCCCATCGTCATGGATAGGAAAAATCAATATCATTATACTACCTATACTTCCCAAAGCAATGTACAGATTCAATGCTATTCCTATCAAACTACCAACAACATTGTTCACAGAATTAGAAAAAACTATTTTAAAATTCATATGGAACCAAGAGAAAGCCTGGATAGCCAAAGCTAAAAGCAAAAAGCTCCAGGCTGGAGGCATCACGTTAACTGACTTCAAACTACACTATAATGGTATAGTAACCAAAACAGCATGGAACTGGCACAGAAACAGGCAGATGGGCCAATGGAACAGAATAGAAAGTGCAGAAATAAGGCTGCACGCCTACAGCCATCTAATCTTCAACAAAGCTGACAAAAACAAGCAATGGAGAAAAGACTACCTATTCAATAAATGGTGCTGGGATAACTGGCTACCTGTATGCAGAAGGTTGAAACTGGGTCCCTTCCTTATGCCATATACAAAACTCAACTCAAGATGTATTAAAGACTTAAATGTAAAACCCAAAACTATGAAAACCCTGGAAGATAACCTAGGCGATGCCATCCTGGACATAGGAACAGGCAAATATTTTATGACAAAGACACCAAAAGCAATCACAATGAAAGCAAAATTGACAAATGGGATCTAATTAAACTTAAGAGCTGCTGCACAACAAAAGATACTATCAACAGAGTAGACAGACAACCTACAGAATGGAAGAAAATTTTGGCAAACTATGCATCTGACAAAGGTCTAATATCCACCGTCTATAAGGGACTTAAACAAATTTACAAGAAAAAAATGCAACCTTATTAAAAAGTGGCCAAAGGACATGAACAGACACTCCTCAAAAAAAGACATGTATGCAGCCAACAAGCATATGAAAACAAGCTCAGTATCACCGATCATTAGACAAATGCAAATCAAAACCACATCTCACACAACTCAGAATGGCTATGATTAAAAAGTCAAAAAATAACAGGTGCTGGTGAGGTTGCCAAGAAAAGGGAACACTCATACACTGTTGGTGGGACTGCAAATTAGTTCAACCATTGTGGAAAGCAGTACGGCAATTCCTCAAAGAGCTAAAAGCAGAACTACCATTTGACCCAGCAGTCCCATTACTGGGTGTATACCCAGAATAATATAAATTATTCTGCCATAAAGACACATGCATGCAAATACTGCATGTTTTTACTTGTAAGTGGGAGCTAAGTGATAAGAACTTTTGAACCCAAAGAAGGAAACAACCGACACTGGGGTCTACTTGATGGGGGAGGGTGAGAAAAGGGAGAGGAGCAGAAAAGATAATATTGGGTACTCGGCTTAATACCTGGGTCATGAAATACTCTGCATAACAAACCTCGTGACTCGTGTTTACCTATGTAACAAACCTTCACATGTACCCCCCAAACCTAAAAGTTAAAAAAAAGAAGACACCTGCACTTGTATGTTCATTGCAGCAGTATTCACAATAGCATAGTCATGAAATCAACCTCAGTGTCTGTCAATGGATGATTAGATAAAGGAAACATACATATATATTATGGAATACTATGCAGCCATAAAAAATGAAATCAAGTTTTTTGCAGCAACATGGTTGAAACTGGAGGTCATTATCCTAAGTGAAATAACCCAGAAAGTCAAATACCACATATTCTCACTTATAAGTGGAAGCTAAACAATGTGTACACATGAACAGAGAGTGGAATAAGGGATAGTGGAGACTCCAAAAGTTGTGAAGGGTGGGACAGGGTGAGGAATGAGAAATTACTTATTGGGTACCATGCATATTTTTGGGGTGATGTTTACACTGAAAGCCCAGACTTCATCACTATGAAATATATCCATGTAACAAAACTGTATTTGTGCTTCTAAATCTATGATAATTAACAAAACAAAAATAAAATGTTAAAAAGTAAAATGTGTATGCTTAATATCCTTATAATGTTAACTATATATACATTATTTAACATAAATTCTGAATCACTTTAATAAAATTTTGTTTATAAAAAAGTCTTTTTGTCAGTTTGTTTTTCACTAGCTGTTCAACAAACACATACTCTTATGGGTTGAATTGTGTTGTGAAGTCCTCTACCCCAGTACCTCAGCATGTGACCTTATTTGGAAATAAGATTCTTGCAGATGAAATTAGTTAAGATAAGGTCATATTGGAACTGGGTGGGCCCCATTCCAGTATGAATGGTATAATCAATATGACTGGTGTCCTTTTCAGAAGACAGCCATGTGAAGATAGAGACACACAGAAAGAACGTCATGTCATAATGAAGATGAAGCTTGTAGTTATGCAGCTGAAAGCTAAGCAATGCCAAGGAAGCTAGGAAGAAGCAAGAAAGGATTTCTCTACAGATTTCAGAGGACGCAGGACCCTGCCAACACCTTGATCACAGACTTCTAGCTTCCAGAGCTGTGGAACAATATATTTCTGTTGTTTTAAGCCACCCAATTTGCGATACTTTATTATGGCAGCTCCAGTAACTAACATACATACCATATTTCGATCTCATCTTAATTTTGTAAATATGAGCACTTGACTTTTCCAACAATTATTATAATAGCAATAACAATCAACAACGAGCAGAATAATAGTTGATTTGTTCCTAGTTTTTCCAAGGTTGTCAGTTTTCTTCACCCCAAAAGTGGAATCTTCATTTCAGTTTTAGATACTCTAGAAATGCACTATTCAACTTGATAGCCACTTGTCACATATGGCTATGGAGCACTAGAAATGTGGCTAGTTCAAAGTGAGATGTGGTTTCAATATAAAATACATACTACATTGTGAAGACTTAGGAAGAAAAAAAGAATGTAAAATATCTCATTAATTTTTTTATGTTGCCTATATTTTGAAATAACATGTTGAGTACATTGAGTTGAATAAAAATTTTATCATCAACTAATGTGGCTCCTAGAAATTTTTAAATTTCATATGTGGCTGACATATTTCTGTTGGACAGTGCAGCTCTTGACCCAAGAAGAGAATGTTGCATGGTGTAGTAGGAAAAAGCTCTAACCTGGAAAGGAGGAAACTTTAGTTTCAGGGCTGATTATTCTGACTCTACCAGATATTTGAATTTGGGCCAATCATGTCACTTTTCTACACACAGCCCCAACATCTGAAAAATAAGGTTGTGCTATTTAATTTCTAATGTAATTTCACTTTCTAAACATTTATCTTAATATAAGTAAAGTGTTGTCTCAAGTCATGCTGTTGCTCTTTTTCTGAATCTGGTAATGTATATATTTTATATCAATATGTATTATATCATATTTTATATATAATATTTTACATTACACAAATTATAGTGTGTGCATGTGTATGTGTATGGTACACCATTGTATGTAGAAGCACGTATAACCCATATGGGGCTATAGGTGTTTCTACATTCAGAATTGCTTGGCATTTTGAAAAGTAATACAGGCAGATATTTTCTATTACATAACGCTCCCAGTGAAGGCAAGGGCAGTGATCCTTAATTAAATGCATATGTTTTCTATAAATAATTATTTGTTATGTAACATAATTAAATACCATATATGTCCTCATGTCAGTTTAGGATAAGTTTGCTGACAAATGAGATTTCTGCAAACTTAAAAACAGAATTTTTGTCAGCTTATCAGAATTGTGGATAAGGATTGGGGACAGATTGTAAACAATTCAATGATAAGTCAGTCAAATTTCCTCAAGAACATTATTTCACACAGTAGATTTTGGATTAGGCTTTCAGTTTTCTATCGTTATTTGGTTTTTATGATAGCATAACTTCTGATCATATTAAAACTTGAAAAATGCGTTCTGCTTTGTTTTGTCTCAGCATATTAATTGTTAGATATGATACAAGTTTACTTTTTCTTTTCCTTTTTCTTTTTTTGGTAGGGGGGAGCTCACATGCATTAAACAAACCTAAATTTTCTCTTTCCATAAAGCATTTATTTTCCAAATATGGAAATGTGTAAGGTCAAACAGATCTCTCAAACATTTAATTTTAATCATCCACTTTTGCATATTTTAATTGCTTAGAAAAGCTCCTCAGTTAAAACTTTTTTTTAGCTCTGCACAGTCTTGTGATGGTGATGTTATGAACTTGTGACCATCGAATGGAGTCAGCCATTTGGCAAATCTACTTATGATCTGTTTTCACAACGTGGAACTTATTTCCCACCACCTTTCTTGTTCAGGTTTGCGTTGAAGCTTCCCTCCCCTTGGGCATGAGTAACAGTGTTATGACACTGGCTTCAATAAGCAACTTTTTATGGTGTCTAATCATGTGCAAATGTGTTAAAATTGGTAGTTTTTAGCAAACAGTTATGGAACATATTACCGTAAGGCATTTGTTCATGGCGTGACAATGATTGGCCCTTGGCCACTTAAATGTTTTATTTAATAATGTGGGAATTTCAGTGTGTTTTCCTTTCATTATTTTTAACTTGAAAACAGAAACAGAGAACCCCTTCTTTAAAGTTAAAACTTTACCGCCTACAGTCTGTCAAAAGCAATATAAGCATCTGGATTTTGGAGAGGGGCTTTTTGCAAGATGTTAATTTAATATACTGGCATATTTCATGCATGCTTTTTATATTTTATATGCTTGAAGCTATATTTACAGTGACCACCCAGGAATAATAGACTTATTTTCGAGATGGCATACTGAACAGCAAAAAAACTCTGTCCAAATAATAGTGCAAATATTGGATTCAGAGAAATATCATTCCACTTAACACAGTGCTTAAATGCCAGATAATCATTGTTGCACACTAAAGTAGAAGACAGAGGTTTGTAAGATCAAGCTTTGCTTTCCTACAGCCTACACTAATTTTTACTTCAGCATCTCCATATGATCTCACAGAGATGGTTTTCCATGAAATATAAGATGATCTGCAAATACTCAGTAAAGTGAATTTTCAAATAATTGCTGAAAATAATGCTGTATTTTTTAAAACTAGAATTTGTATCAAAATGAAATAGTGTAATATTCTGCAAGATATCTATATGGCAGACAGCTATATATGTTAATGTATTCTGAGATCAGAGAATAAAAATATTTCTTATTTTCAACAAAGCTCTGCACTGCTATTTAATATCCATAAACACATCTCTCAGCCTGACTTCAAAGACCTTCCACGAGACTGAGCACTTAGCTAAGTTTAGAATTAGCTTCAGCTCTTACTATTAAAAATAAATAATGATTAAATATAGCAAACTTAACATGTTTCAATATGCACATTAAACTTAGTTTCAAATTTTAAGAAGACTTGTTTTCAATGTATAACTCATACACAGAATAAATCTGTTGTGATAGTCTGCACATTCATTTACAGAATTTAAGCCATCAGTCCAAGAGGAATAAATGGGAAATAAAACCTTTATATCAGGGCTATTTTGTTTCAAGACTAAAGCATTTAGAGGTCTTGATCCAATTAAATGTGTGTGTGTTTCTAGGGGAAGAAATTGACAAGATGTGTTGTGATTTTTCAGACTGTAGACGCTGAACACATGCAGAACTCCACGTGCAGATCAGCTGTTGGTAGCTTTGGTACACATTACTTAATATTCTTGACAATTGCCCATTAAGGCCAAGTTCAGGTGACTAATAATCCCTGCAGAGAGCTCTACCCAAGGTTAGAGAAACCACTTAGCATTATTTATAGGTAACTACCTCAGAGCTTCAGTTTCTACATAAAGAACTGTCTATGCTAAATATAATTGGCTGTCTCCGCTAAATGTGAGATATAACCAACTTAGCATATACACTCTGAGAAATAGTTTAAACACTCAAACTCATGGAAATTTTTAAGTTAAACTTTTATAGTAATTATTTTGTTGATGTTTTTACCAGAAATGTTTTATTATTTATTTATTTATTTATTTTTTGAGACGGAGTCTTGCTCTTGTTGCCCAGACTGGAGTGCAACGGCATGATCTCAGCTCACTGCAACCTCCGCCTCCCGGGTTCAAGTGATTCGCCTGCCTCAGCCTCCCTAGTAGCTAGGATTACAGGTGCCCGCCACAATGCCCAGCTAATTTTTGTATTTTTAGTAGAGACGGGGTTTCACCATGTTGGTCAGGCTGGTCTCGAACTCCTGACCTTGTGATCTGCCTGCCTTGGCCTCCCAAAGTGCTGGGATTACAGGCGTAAGCCACTGCGCCTGGCCTCAGAAATGTTTTAAATATTATGGAAGATGCTACTCAAATTAGAACAAATTCTTAGACTGATGTCTGATGTTTATCAAATATGCACTTTCTTATTCAATAAATTATTTTATTATTAAAAATGTGTACTAATTTTAGGAAATTTTAGTATATAAAAATAAGTATGATGAAAGAAAACAAAAATCACTCAATCCTGTCACCCAGGTTAAATAATATTTGGTATATTATAAAACAAAAAATCATATAAATATACAAAAATGGAAACTACTCTTTATTTTATAATGTGTATTTCATAATATACCAATCTGTTATATATGTATGTATGTATATGTATGTAAATATGTATATAAATATATATGTAAGCATGCCTCTATATAACAGGGCTAATGAACTTCTAATGTAAACAATGTGCTTTTTTTCTTAGGAATCCCTAGTTCTTAGTTGCTATGGTTCGAATATGTCTCCCAAAAAGCAAGTACTGCATTCGAATATGTCTCCCAAAAAGCATGTACTTAATTCTCAATGAACAGTGTTGTATGATGGAAAGTTTAAGAAACGATTAGGCTATGAGGGCTCAAGACTGGGTTTGTTATAATAGGAATGAGTTTCCTGTAAAATAATGAGTTTGCTCCCCTTTTGTCTCTCTCTCTCTCACTCTCTCTTTGCCCTTCCACATTAGAAGGATGCAGCAAAAAAGCCCTCACCAGATGCCGGCCCCTTGATCTTGGATTCCCCAGCCACCAGAATGGCGAATCAGTAAATTTCTGTTCGTTTAAAATTACCCAGTCGGTGCTCTTCTGTTGTAGCAGCACAAAGCAGACTAAGACACAGTACTGCTTTGCTATCAAGAGTATTACCTATCTGTGTAGGGAGTATACATTATTAAGGTTAACCTGTGAGCTTTAATGCCCCCAGGGATAGAGAATGCCCCTTCTAGAGAGGAAGAGAAACTGTAAAGTCCACCTCTTCTGGTCTAGGGAAGTATGGAAAGAAGAAATGAGGAAAGAGGAATTTATCAAGTGCTCGTATTTTATTGTTTTTTTTTTCTTGGACTATCATTGAAGGAGAATGCCATTGAATCATTCAAATTGGCACAGGCCAATCTTGAGGACATTAGAGCTAGTATCAACTTTCTAATGCCCATACAAGGAAAGATGCAAGTTGCTAGAAGAGGCAAAACTTCAGTTTGGTACCAAAACCAACAAGATGACTAGTAGCATGACATTGGCAGAGGGAGGTGAGCCTGACACAGGATTTCTGCCTTCTTTGAACTTTAGAAGGTTAGCTGGTACCCAGAAATACCAATTAGCCTCCTTGAAGGAACACAAAATTGTTAGGTTGGCTTGGCACTAGTGGAGCCAAGGAGCATAATGATCAGGGACTTGGAGACTAGATATGAGTGGCCAGGGCCATTAAGTTGAATGGTTGGTACTAGCATAAAACCCTGAGAGTAAAGACGGAGCCCCTCTTTAATAAACACAAGTACAAGGGCAGAAAGAAATGAGATACACAAATTAGCACAGATCAAAAGCCACTGGGAAAATGAGGCCTTTCCTCTCAACAGCCAGAAAAGCATTAAATCTCCCAGTCACCCTCTTGTCATCCAGAGAAAATCAGTGGGCATGAGCGTGGAGGAAGTATATGGAAATTCAAAAAAACAAAAGCATTTACCACAAAGATACCATATCTTTTGATGGAATATTAAATAAGAAAAATTAAAATAAAATACAGTTGACCCTTGAATGAGAGATGGCTTTGAATTGTGTAGGTCCACTTGTAAGTGGATTGTTTTCAATAGAAGTTATACCTAGTGTGCCTGCCTCTGACTCCCCTTCTGCCTTTTCCACCTCTTCTGTCTCTGCCAACCCGAGACAACATGACCAACCCCTCCTCTTCCTGCTCCTTCTCAGCCTACTCAACATGAAGATGATGAGAAGGAAGATTTTTATGGTGATCCACTTCCACTTAATAAATAGTAAATATATTTTCTCTTTCTTTGGATTTTCTTAACATTTTCTTTTCTCTAGCTTACTTTAAGAATATACTATATAATACACATAACATACAAAATATGTGTTAATCTACTATGTTATCAGCAAGGCTTCTTGTCCACACTAGGCTATTAGTAGTTAAGTTTTGAGGGAGTCCAAAGTTGTACACAGATTTTTTTTTACTGCAAAAACAGTAAAAAATGTGGGGTTTAGGCACCCCTAAACCCCATATTGTTCAAGAGTCAGCTGTACTGTTACTGGCAACTTAACTTATCCCTACATTTATTTCCTACGGCTCAGCAGCAAAGGAAATAGGAAAATAGATCAGTTACATAAAATAAAGTTATTTCCCATCTGTGTAGCAAAGTATAAATATGTAACCCTGATGCAGATATGTATATCTCTCAGTTGTCCGTGTTTGTGTGGATGTGAAACAAATATAACTCACTATTTTCAATTTATAAAATATCACAATTTTTCCATGCTAATAGCTTTATGTCTGTATAATAATATATTAAATGTACCATAACTTATTTAATCAGTCCTCTTTTATTATGCATTTCTATTGTTTACTTTTTTTATAAATGTGCACATTCTAAAATTAGCATTTTTCAAAAGCAAAATGAGGTGGTCTTTTTCACAATATGAAAGGATTAGATGCCTAAAATCTCCTTATTTGAAATAATGATTAATTTTTAGCACTGTGGTATAAATACAGATTGTCATAGTAGGACCCCATATTTATATTGACCTTCAACTGCTTGCTCAGGAATGCCTGGAATAAAACACCCTCTCAGAACGTTAGAAAGTAGTATCATTGGACAGGGCCTAGCACAGACATAGATAACATTCTACTTCACCATAATAGCAGAAATACTGTCACATTAAAGATGTATTTTAGCAATAAAGAGGATGGGTAATTGAAAATAAGATGCAGGTAATTACCAGAAAAATAAAAGAGTAGTATGTGTAAAGATGAAAGTGGAGGATTTGCTATTGGTGCCTTTATAGGATAATTTTTAGATCATACTTCCAATAGCTAAAATAATGGGGAAATAAATGATTCAGGGAAAACTTGTTTATATACACATAATTTCTGTGCTTCAGTTTGAAAGAGGAGATGCCTTTTGTCCAAGTTTATTTTTGTCATTTTCTTCTATTACATTGCGTATCAACTGTCCTAATTTACCCCAGAGATAGTCAGTGCTCACACGGGAAGCATTGCTTTGATTCATGCACTTTAATTCTCATTAAAGCAAGTGTAAGTTTGGTTATGGCACGTTGCTTTGAAAGCAGTTGGGATGGTGAGGGACAATGAGAGAGTGTGTAAAAGAAACAACTGGTTCATATTCTGGGAACACTGCCAGCATTTGATTCAAAACCAGAACAAGTGCTGGCTGTCAGCTGAATCTGTGCTTAAAATAAAAGAAGGCCCATAAGAGCCTAGATTAACAGAAAGAAGGAACAATCTAATGCCGAAATCTTAGTACAAGTAGCTGAAGGTGGTGGGTGCTATCCCTACATTTTTTGTGGCTTTAAATTTGATTGCAGATGATTTAGCTGATAAAATAGGATATAAGATTCTCACATCCCAAGTGTCTTATGAAATATTTAATTAATGGTATTTATGGAAACTGTGAATTTATGAAAACCAAAAAAGATCACAAAGACAATTATAATAAAATATATAAAGCAAGTTCAGAAATGGGTGCCAAGCCATGTTTCATGTTACCTTACGGCATATGAAATTGATGAATTATAGGTGGCCATTAAAAACATATTTAAATTTTCCCATAACTTCATTAATTCTGATGTTTGAAATTTAAGACATGAGCTGAGCTCAAGTTCCTGTATATACTCTTCAGTAAAAAATCAGTTTGTCACACCAATTAGCTTTACTATAAACCTGTAAAGGGAATAATTAATTCATACACGATAAAAAATTATTTTAAATATTTTACATAGCAGATATATAAAAATTGAGATAATTACAAATAATTATATGGATACATGAAAACAGGCATAGGAGAATACCTGCTTGACCATAGCTTGCTAGATCCTTTTGGGTTGTTAGGTATACATATTTGGAAATAGTAGTTATGCATTTCTTTACAAATATTATATAATGTTCCTTTATTCAGGTGGTCTCCCTCACCTAATTCCAGCTAGTGAAGTTTTACTATGTCAGCTATTCTGCATTATTTGATTTCACAGGCCTTCAAAGGTACAGTGAGGAGAAATCACCTTGAGCCCTTTATTACCAAAGAAAGTAATGAGAAGAGTCAACCCTTCTTATTCTTTAGGGACATATTAGATGATTCATATATTCAATGATTCAAACTAGCTTGTGGGTGGGTGGGAAATCCCACACAATTCAGCCATCACAAAGTTGACCAAAATGCAGAATTGCTTTGTACTGTTCTGCTTTAAATAAATACAGATAATTAAATAAACCTTTGCAGCAGTAGAATAAAGCATAAATCCTAACTTTACCCAGCCAAAGGCTGTCTTGGCCACCAGCCAGAAGCCAGAGGGCCAGAGCTAATTTGCATAAAATTGAACAGATTGCTGCAGCTGCCGTCCTTATTAATACCAAGACGTAATCATAATCAGGAGACATTCCATCCGCAGCAGAGCCACCTCCTGTGCAGTGCCACCCATTGCTTTGTGGGACCTATAGTCACTGATATGTGATCTCACTTTAAAGGAAAAAACTATTTATAAAAAAGACAAAAAACAATTTTTTTTCAATTGTTTAAAAAAAAAAACAACAAAAACTCTAGCCCATTCGCTGAGCAGACTCACCAAATGGTTTTTCCTTTAACTTAATACAAAACATTAAGTTAAAGATATTTCTGTACTTCATCTCTACTTGGGTAAAATCGGTGTGTGGAAATAAGTAAAACCATGTATTTCAAATTTTCTTCAAAGAAATTATGATGAACTTCTTGCAACTTAATTTTTGACACGTCTGCAAAGTATTATTTATGATACAGTGACTGCTACCAGTTGCTGATGATGTCACACTTGGCTTTTTACATTCTGTCACCCTGATTTCAACTCCAGGAAACTCTACACAGCAGTGAAATGCAGAAAGATGTCAAAAAGCATGTGCTATGACTTATCACGCCCAAAACATGCTGAGAACACAGACACTATGTAATGCCTGATAGAGTGCTTTTGCATCAGGATATCAACAGCTCTCTCTTTGTCAGTAGTACTAAATGAATTGGAAGATTGCTGTTCTACAGTTTCTCAGTCAGAAGGGCTGTCAGCAGCTTCACGAAGGCCATCTGGGGAAAACAAACTCTTGGCCCGTATAAAGATGATGTAACATACAAGGAGCACTGGCAAAGACGGAGTGGATTATATTAAAAACCTATCATATTTGTTAGCTAACTGCGGATGACAGCATTGGAGTGTACAATAAAAAGCTTTTATGGTGCTCTGAAAATCCTGAGTTTGCTGCACAGGAATACATATTGAGCTCATCTACTGGTCTGGGACACAGTAGAATTAAAGTGTTGTTCTTCTCTGATCATTACTTCGAATTTATATATATATATATACATTTAAAACCCTAAATGCCCATTTAGCACCCAATTTTGCAGGTAAGGTTTAAGATTGGGTCTACACCCATTTCCCTATCCCTATTATTTTAGTATGATTGACTGCGTGTAGAATTATATATTCATCACCACAGAATTCCCAGTGTGCAGAGAGCTATATCTATATGCTAATCCCTAAACCAAGGATTAGGGATTTCTTTTTTTTTCAGTCATGCTCAGATAAATGATTAAAATATAATATACAATCCATATCCTATTAGACAGAAATAAAATATATAATTTTTTTCTTTTTCCACTCAACGTCATTCATTTCTATGTCCTCTATCATCTATGAATAATTCTTAACCCTACATCTACCATTTAAATTTTACTTTTTACATTTCATATGCTTGTTTTTATTTTAGTGTTGGAATTTCTATATGAATGTCATGGAAACATATCAAATGTAGAATGATTTCTTGAAACTCTACCTTGAGTTCAAATGATATCTCTATGTTCTAAGTTTTTTCCTTAATTTCTACATTTAAGCCTGTCTAAAATTCTATGGTCCTTGCTCTGGCATTTAAATGGTGCAAATCCTATGTCTCCACTTATGTTTATTTTCAGGAAACTTGCTCACTTCTCTTTGATGCCTTTCTAACTTGATTATACCTGTCTCTGGCTGTGTCTTCTTCTCAAACCCACTGCTGAGCTTTACCTTGAAAACTTTTAAACAACTATAAGCTGTCCTTGTACTTCTGGCTTTCCTCTTCCCAGTTGCCTGGGGTAGAACAATACATTATAGTTTTAGCTTAGACCCTAAGGCTTCTCAACCCATCACTAGTCCTCTGGTTCCTGAAGGGAAGCCCCTCAGGATACCTAAGAGAAAGAATCTGTGAAAGAATGAAGATCAAGCATTAATTCACGGTGCTACTATTGGAAGTTCTGTTCTGATAACAAAAAAAAGTGTTAAAAGGCTCTCGAAGCCATTTGTCAATGTGTCTTCATTCACTTATTTGGGTCTGATTTTTGTTTTTGTTGTTCATTTTATGTTCTAATTCTCTCTTTGGAACTACCTGTGGTTGACATGATGAGACAAGCCTGGGAATGATTACCATTCAGGACAGGTTTCCACTTTGAGACATTTTAAGTGTAAATCCAAATAAAGGCATAGTCATGTAAGCAGATTAGGCCTACCATTAATGCAGGCAAAAAGAATCCCATTGGTTCAGACATGTCATATGGTAGGTTTCCACATAAGGGTTTAAACCTAATCTGATCCAGTGACAAGTAACAACCGTAGCTGGCCTTGTTTTTATGCATGTATCTCCATCAGAAAATTCAAAGGTGTGATGGAAATTATGCCAAACAGTCTACATGGATTAAAGAATTTGGCAATTCTCATACTAGCAATAGTTATCAGAGCTAGATAGTCTCTTGATCAGTGCAAAATCAAGATGGTGTTTTGATTAGGTCTCCCCTGAAACACCATCTCCTCTTCTCCACATCAGCCAAACTAACAAACTTATGAGAATGAGTTCCATTACCCCAGATAACCTTGTAGTCATTCTCACCTTCTATTCTTTCTAGTTGTATAGATTCCCTTTCTGAAATTTGATTATTACCCAATTTTCTTTTATCTAGATTATTGCAGTAGACTCCTAAGTATTCTTCTAGCCTTCTGTTTTTTTTCTTTTTTTTGGTTTTATTTATTTATTTATTTTTTATTATTATACTTTAAGTTTTAGGGTATATGTGCACATTGTGCAGGTTAGTTACATATGTATACATGTGCCATGCTGGTGTGCTGCACCCACTAACTCGTCATCTAGCATTAGGTATATCTCCCAATGCTATCCCTCCCCCCTCCCCCCACCCCACAACAGTCCCCAGAGTGTGATGTTCCCCTTCCTGTGTCCATGTGATCTCATTGTTCAATTCCCACCTATGAGTGAGAATATGCGGTGTTTGGTTTTTTGTTCTTGCAATAGTTTACTGAGAATGATGATTTCCAATTTCATCCATGTCCCTACAAAGGACATGAACTCATCATTTTTTATGGCTGCATAGTATTCCATGGTGTATATGTGCCACATTTTCTTAATCCAGTCTATCATTGTTGGACATTTGGGTTGGTTCCAAGTTTTTGCTATTGTGAATAATGCCGCAATAAACATACGTGAGCATGTGTCTTTATAGCAGCATGATTTATAGTCCTTTGGGTATATACCCAGTAATGGGATGGCTGGGTCAAATGGTATTTCTAGTTCTAGATCCCTGAGGAATCGCCACACTGACTTCCACAATGGTTGAACTAGTTTACAGTCCCACCAACAGTGTAAAAGTGTTCCTATTTCTCCACATCCTCTCCAGCACTTGTTGTTTCCTGACTTTTTAATGATCGCCATTCTAACTGGTGTGAGATGGTATCTCATTGTGGTTTTGATTTGCATTTCTCTGATGGCCAGTGATAGTGAGCATTTTTTCATGTGTTTTTTGGCTGCATAAATGTCTTCTTTTGAGAAGTGTCTGTTCATGTCCTTCGCCCACTTTTTGATGGGGTTGTTTGTTTTTTTCTTGTAAATTTGTTTGAGTTCATTGTAGATTCTGGATATTAGCCCTTTGTCAGATGAGTAGGTTGCGAAAATTTTCTCCCATTTTGTAGGTTGCCTGTTCACTCTGATGGTAGTTTCTTTTGCTGTGCAGAAGCTGTTGAGTTTAATTAGATCCCATTTGTCAATTTTGGCTTTTGTTGCCATTGCTTTTGGTGTTTTAGACATGAAGTCCTTGCCCATGCCTATGTCCTGAATGGTAATGCCTAGGTTTTCTTCTAGGGTTTTTATGGTTTTAGGTCTAATGTTTAAGTCTTCAATCCATCTTGAATTGATTTTTGTATAAGGTGTAAGGAAGGGATCCAGTTTCAGCTTTGTACATATGGCTAGCCAGTTTTCCCAGCACCATTTATTAAATAGGGAATCCTTTCCCCATTGCTTGTTTTTCTCAGGTTTGTCAAAGATCAGATAGTTGTAGATACGTGGCGTTATTTCTGAGGGCTCTGTTCTGTTCCATTGATCTATATCTCTGTTTTGGTACCAGTACCATGCTGTTTTGGTTACTGTAGCCTCGTAGTATAGTTTGAAGTCAGGTAGTGTGATGCCCCCAGCTTTGTTCTTTTGGCTTAGGATTGACTTGGCGATGCGGGCTCTTTTTTGGTTCCATATGAACTTTAAAGTAGTTTTTTCCAATTCTGTGAAGAAAGGCATTGGCAGCTTGATGGGGATGGCATTGAATCTGTAAATTACCTTGGGCAGTATGGCCATTTTCACGATATTGATTCTTCCTACCCATGAGCATGGAATGTTCTTCCATTTGTTTGTATCCTCTTTTATTTCCTTGAGCAGTGGTTTGTAGTTCTCCTTGAAGAGGTCCTTCACATCCCTTGTAAGTTGGATTCCTAGGTACTTTATTCTCTTTGAAGCAATTGTGAATGGGATTTCACTCATGATTTGGCTCTCTGTTTGTCTGTTGTTGGTGTATAGGAATACTTGTGATTTTTTGCACATTGATTTTGTATCCTGAGACTTTGCTGAAGTTGCTTATCAGCTTAAGGAGATTTTGGGCTGAGACAATGGGGTTTTCTAGATATACAATCATGTCTTCTGCAAACAGGGACAATTTGACTTCCTCTTTTCCTAATTGAATACCCTTTATTTCCTTCTCCTGCCTAATTGCCCTGGCCAGAACTTCCAACACTATGTTGAATAGGAGTGGTGAGAGAGGGCATCCCTGTCTTGTGCCACTTTTCAAAGGGAATGCTTCCAGTTTTTGCCCATTCAGTATGATATTGGCTGTGGGTTTGTCATAGATAGCTCTTATTATTTTGAAATATGTCCCATCAATACCTAATTTATTGAGCGTTTTTAGCATGAACGGTTGTTGAATTTTGTCAAAGGCCTTTTCTGCATCTATTGAGATAATCATGTGGTTTTTGTCTTTGGCTCTGTTTATATGCTGGATTACATTTATTGATTTGCATATGTCCCCTATATTGATTGAGTGGTAAGCGATCTAGACTAACATTTTCAACCACTTTGATTCTTTCCTTGATTTAACCATGACTTGATAAGTCCCAATCCTTATCTTTGTAAAATGAATCCTAAATATGAAATATAATATTGGTTCTTTAGGGATGTAGTCTCGGGTCTTGAAATATCCTCAAATCCATTTCCTCCATACATCATTTGACTTGATTTCTTTTTATCGTTTTAATGTGTTTTTCCCTTTCTTTTATGTGATTTCTTTCTTTTAGCATAACTTGTGGTTCTTTCTGCATCATGAACAAAGTATTGCTTTTCAAGTCCATGATTTAAAATATTTTTTACTAGAAAAATATTTTAAGTGGCTATGGTTTATAGTTATAGATCTGCACCTGCTTGCCCATAAACTGCCTTGAAAGAAAGAAATAAATCTTTAGAAAGCTCTTTTCTCAGTCCTCACTTTAAATGAGGGCAAGAACTTGGTAAGTATTGTGTGGCTCACTGAACCTCCATCAATGACAAGATGGGCCTCTGGCTCAAGTCTACATTTCCTATTAAAAAGGTGAAGTGTAAAGTAGATTCTGAAAAGCTAATCCCTATAATTTAAGCCCTTATTTGTTCCACATGAACTAACTTCCAGATTGTTACTGAAACAAATTTTCTTTTATTTGTGTATTCAAATAAGCATGATTCACTTAAAAAGCAGTCCCACCGAACCACATTTGCATATCCTAATTAGTTGAGCATGTTCATTTTCCATTCACATGTTTTTCAAATAAATGCTTTTGAAGAATAGTAAAACTTAACTAACATCTGAGGCTGCAAGTTCACAAAAAAAGAAAAAAAAGAGCTGACACACACACTAGCTAAAAAAAGGCAAGGATTTCAATGTGTGGCACAGAGGATGTGGATTTGATTCGTGTTTCATAATGGAGGTTGGGATGTGTGTAGTATGTACCAGGATGTGGGTGGCTTCAGGGCCAACTCATCCATGTATTTGTATAACCAACAAAGAGTGGAAATTAAGTGCCATTGTAATCTTCTAATGCATAGTAAGAGTTGATCAATTTTTGAAAAATATTTTTTACTCTAAAATAAGCTAAAGTTAAAGAGTTAGGATACATTAACAAGAAACTTCTAGGGAATAAAGCTATCCATCAAAAAAAGAGTTAATTCTGACATTTAGAAATACAGCTATACGTTATATATCTTATGAAAATACATGCCATTGATTTAGAAGAAACTTCTCTACATGGAACATGGTCTGAGATTGACTTTCAAGAAAAGGGGGGAAAGGGGATAAAAACTTTTGTGTTACAGTTACATGAAATACACAATTATCTTCCTAAATTCATTTCTAAAACCCACTTATTCCTACAAATTAAGAGGACACAAAATAGAATGATGTCAGTTATATTTTTTTCAGTTCTGTTACATAGTTTCAAGTTGCTGAATTACTCAGATACTTATGTGAGTGTTCACTCATAATTTTGGAAATTGATATTATTTAAGCCCACCCAACCAGCCACTCTTATAACTTCTCTTTAACTTGTAAAAAGACAGGAAACAGAAACTCCTTTCAGTCCAGTCCAGGTCATGGATTAAATCTAGGGATCTCCTGTTCATATATTTATTTCCACTCACTATCACTAGATCTTTGGATTTGAGTAATTGTTTAATGCATCTATCTGATCTGAAATAATTAAGAAAACTTTCATAATATTGATTGCAGAAAGCAGTAGTCGTTAGAAGGCTATACTACATTATCCCTCATTTAAAAGGTAGTAGTAGGAAAATTATTGTAAGATTTTCACAAAGGCTACTTTGTATTGGAATTTTTCATTATCTTAAACGGAAATGCAGTCAACAAATGAAGTCAACAAATGATATGTGGGATTAAAAGTACAAATTACATATTATTTAGTGTCTAGTGCCTAGGTTTTAAGGATGAAAAGCTCTGAGTTACAAAGCCCTGGAGTCTCCTTTCCCACTAGGATACTTTGCTATACCACTTCCAAGGCTACACATGCTATTGACTACATTTGGAAGAGCGATTCTAAAGAGTAAGAACAATCTTGGCTTTGGGAAACAAAGAAGAAGGTTTCAGACTGGGGAAATTCACTTTCCCATTAGGATGAGGATAAATTGATTATGCCCAACACTAAGAGGAAATCATCTCGAGTTATAGATTCATAAGTAAGCCACGTAGCACATATTCAGTGAAACTCATTTTCTTCATGTTGAAAATCAAACCTATCCATACAGTATGCTAAATAACCTTTTTTCTTGTTTGTACAAGTCCACTCTTACATTTTATTTTATGTATTAAAACGTTAACAAAGAAAAAAAGAGATACCCCAAACTTCAACAAAACCATGAGTTTTAGTATGGAATGGATGACACATGTTTAAAATGGTGTCATAGCCACACATTTCTTCTTTTATTTGCATTTCCTAGAACTAGAAGAATGTTTAAAAAAAAATCTGTGAGTTAGCTAAGAGGGTACAAATGGAAGGGTATCTGTGCTCCAGCTGAAAAAAGTATAATCGGTGTCATGTTGAAGATTATTTCCAACTCTCTGTTGCTTTCTTGTGTGAGAAATGAAGGCGAGGTGCTTGGCAGTTCTTGTCAACAATATGTCGAGGCAGTGATTGTACGATGCTGTGGCAGCAGAGCTTTTAAACAGAAACACCAGAACCTGCGAAGTATGTGTCTGTGATTAGTACCTGATGCTGTGCACAGTGTATGCCCAGCCTCATGCTTTTAATGGAGTATCTTTATAAAACCTAACGGTACTCCATCCTCTGTTAATCATATTAATGTTGAAAAGATCATATGGCTACCATTAATTCTTCAGCATGAAAAACTTTGTTTCTTCCCTTTCCAAATCCATCAGCACAAATGCATGAAATGTCATTTTTGCCTAGCTGTAGACATCAACTCTCACAACAAACATAAATAACATATACATAAATGAAGATCATAATAGAAATGCTTATAGCTCCTTTATTCAAAATAGAAAGAAGTATGCCACTTCACTACCACAACTAGAATAATTTCAGAAAGCTTATAAATGTTAAGAAGGCAAACTATAATCTCTAATAATAGCTTCCCTTTAATTTATTTTCCAAATGAATACCAGATGCACTCTTTCCATTCCACTCCAAAACATACATACACTATTAGCGCAGTTGTTGTTTTAAGAACATGTGCTTCTGTTCCTAGAAGAGCTTATCCAGTTATACCATGTCCACAATGTGCTTACCTGATCGGCAATCTTGACTATCTTTCCTAATAAATCATGTAGTTCCAAAGGAAAACTCTGTTACCTGGTAAGGTCATTTGTGGAAAGACTAACTGATGTGTAACACAAGGTGAAAACTCAAGGGAGAAACTGATTTATGATCAATGGTTTGACTGTATATGTGTATGTGTTGGGGTGGTAGATTAGAGTACTCGGTATGTGTTTTTTACATATCATATTTAGCACTTACTAATTGTGTAGTATTTATGCAAACACCCATAAGGAATAAGGAAGGGTAGGAATGTCAAGATATTAATGAGGCGGAATTATTCATTTTAATTAAAGACAGTGCTTTTGTCCATGTTAATGAAGTAGCACACGAAGTTCTAGTGAATACAAAACTTAAACAGAAAGCAGACATAACTATACTCGGAATGTACAATTTGTCATAAGAAGCAAACATACGCAAGAATAATTATTAGAAGTCATCTTTTGCTCTTTGGACTGTCTTTTCAAAGCCAAATCTGTGTTTGTCAGTAGAAAATGCCTGGACTTGTAGACTCGACCTTCACCTGTGACTTCATCTGCTTTTCCACTTTAAATTCTTTGTTTTTAATGTCTTATTTTCACATATTTTTGTGAGATATTTTAAATCTTCTTTGAATCAAGGTATAAAACCAAGACTTAAATATATATGGGGAATTCTTAACTATAAAACTTATACAATTAAATCTATGTTTTAGGAAGATAATTCTGGCAGGACAGGGGTGTGTGGATTAGAACAGGGAGACAGGGGACTTTGGGATGCCAATGCCATGGCGCAGATGAAACACAATGAGGACTTCACATTGAACAAGGACAGTAACACTTGAATGAAAGAGAAACATTTGAGAGATATTTAGGAAGCAGTTTCTGCAGGGTTTTTTACTGAATATTTGTACATAGAATATGAGGAGGAAAAGGGAAAAATAAAAAATTCCTCCTCAGTTTCTTGTCTAAGTGACTTGGCAAATATTAGACAATTATAGTCTTAGGACAGACAGGGAACACTAGAGGAGAAGTCACAGGATGAGGGAAGGTAGCAAGATAATGGGTTATTTTTAGACATTGTAATGTGAGTGCTTTCAGGACCATTAGGTAGAAGTGTCTAATAGATAGTTGGAAATCCAGATTGGTAGGTTAAGAGTATACATAAGGACAAGAATAGAGGTTTCTTTTAGCAGAGAAGAAAAAGAAACTCATAAACAGTACTCTGGAAACAACAGCAGCATTTAAGGGCTAGACAGAGTAAGAAGAGAGTTAAAAAGTTTGAGAAAAAGTTGTAAGTAAATTGAGCAATGAAAGATGTCAATGGGAGAGAGAATTTCAAAACTGGGCTCTTAAACAGTGTGAACCATGTTTTCTTTTTATCTGCAATGATTACCCCAGGGCTGAGAGAGTAATAGAAGCTTAGACTATTTGATGAATGATTTTTTTTCTTTTATTATTATACTTTAAGTTTTAGGGTACATGTGCACATTGTGCAGGTTAGTTACATATGTATACATGTGCCATGCTGGTGCGCTGCACCCACTAACTCGTCATCTAGCATTAGGTATATCTCCCAATGCTATCCCTCCCCCCTCCCCCGACCCCACAACAGTCCCCAGAGTGTGATGTTCCCCTTCCTGTGTCCATGTGATCTCATTGTTCAATTCCCACCTATGAGTGAGAATATGCAGTGTTTGGTTTTTTGTTCTTGCGATAGTTTACTGAGAATGATGATTTCCAGTTTCATCCATGTTCCTACAAAGGACATGAACTCATCATTTTTTATGGCTGCATAGTATTCCATGGTGTATATGTGCCACATTTTCTTAATCCAGTCTATCATTGTTGGACATTTGGGTTGGTTCCAAGTCTTTGCTATTGTGAATAGTGCCGCAATAAACATACGTGAGCATGTGTCTTTATAGCAGCATGATTTATAGTCCTTTGGGTATATACCCAGTAAAGGGATGGCTGGGTCAAATGGTATTTCTAGTTCTAGATTCCTGAGGAATCGCCACACTGACTTCCACAATGGTTGAACTAGAATGATGTTTTAAGAAGAGTATTTAAAAAATTAGAGTTTGGTGAGAAAATGATTATAAAGGAAATGTAGAGTTGGCATAATGTAACTGGCGTTCTTTGTAAGAACAATTTGGAAGAATGGGAGATGGTTATAATGGAAAGAGAGAACATATGCAGATAGGGAAAGGTGAGGACAGCTTCTGCTAAGTGACAAGGGCAGAGACACCTGATGGATAATTAAGCAATGCTGTAGTGCTTTTTAGGATAGCGAGGTTGATATACCAAATGGAGGAAGGGCCAGGTGGGAACAACTTCAAAGGGGAGTCATAGGTCGGGAGAATCAGGTTGGAGAGTAAGGGGAAATTGATGAGTGGGAGTGGCACGCAGGATACATCCAAGTTCAGAAAAAGTGCTGAACATGGAATCTGTAAGCCCATATTCGGAATCTGGACATGCTAACAAAAGAAGCCTCAGGAAAGCAATCTTTCTGAGCTCATCTGTAAAATAAGGAGCTTGGTTAGAAGGGAAGTTCTTGCTCTGGGGAAGCCAGATGATGTTATATGCTCTTTCAGCCCTAAATCTTTATGGTTCTTGGACTCTATGGTTTGTGAGGAGTGATAAGTATTATATAGAGAGCCTTTGGATAAACCAGAGGAATTAAGAAAATTTCTATTTGACCCACATAAAAGAATCACATCTGGCTCTCAATCAAGTTGTGGGAATAAAGAAAAAGTAATACATCTGTCAGATGCAGCGGACAAAAATAAAAGGCATCAGAAGAGCCTTCAGCTCCATTTCCTCCTCCTTTTTCTGAGACAGAACTCCAGGGATATCCCCTCAGGGGCAATTTTGCATCCGAAGTTAGCCGGATGCAAAGTTACATGATCCTGATTGGCCAATGGCTTCATTGTTCCACCAAGGCTTCTGCTAGAGGATTAGAGGTTCAGCTGGGTCTCAGGGAAGCCTTTAAACAGGTCCCAACCTGACTAGGGATTGGTCCCCCATGGTACCCTTCCCATCCTCTCCTCCTCACTCCTTGCTCTAGTGGTTTGAAAGAAGGTTCTGGTCCTCAAATTTCCTTCTTCCCCTGGGTTCTTACCTCAGATGAAGAAATGCCATGCTGGTGGCTTATTTACACATCAGACGTATCAATTATAAGTAGAGATCTTATTATTGGCTCAACTAATCTATCCTGCCTAGGGAGACAAAGTTTAGTAATACCAAAAATTAAAACATTTTGCAGCAGAGTTTTGCTGATTAATACAACATGTTAAACTTTTGCTTTTTTTTTTAAGTGAAGTCGTTTCACTTCATATAAAACAGACATTTGCTATCGTTTCCTTGTCTTCCAATGTGAGATAATCATAAACAGCTTTTAGAAATCTCCTTTTCAAGGGGATGCTGACCAGACAATGGTGTGATGTGGCCTAAGACACCAGAAACAGTGACTAGAAGCTAGAGTACTTGTACCTTGGAGTTCAACAGGATAAAATGGCTATATGTTCAAAGATATAAAGAAGACTGGATTGATGGGTGGATGATGGAATTGCCCATATGATGGCAACATAAGGCAGAATCTTTTATGTTTTAAATGTATTTATCTTTTAAAATCTTCCTTTGAAATAAAGTAAATTATAACAAGAATACCTGGAGGTGATTGTTTCACACTTTAAATGTGTGTGTGCACTTTTGATTAGGTGGTATAAATCATATCTGTGAGTCACCTCAATTATATACTTTGTATCTAAGAATTTTATTGTACTACAAAATGTATTATTTGTTGGATAATTGTGGTAAATTATACCATGGAGAATGAAGAAAATTTAGAGTTAGAACAGCATTTCTCAAACTTGTTTTCACTATTGCTCCCTAAGGAGCCTTTTGACATTTTTTCAAACATCCTACTGTAGGACATTTTAATAATACAGAAATGCTGTATATCTGTTTGTGTATGTCATATATTTTTGCTCCCCCCAAAAACAATTTTTCAGTCTTTAGAATATCATCCCTTTTGAAAATGCAGGGAGTAGAGAGAAAGTCAGAACCTTGGGACATAGCTTTTGATATGTAAGTGATTCCTCCTCTAAACTTGTGGGAATTGCCTATTGATCAACTCAAGAGATAAAACTGTAACCCATCTGGAGTGTGCTGAGTATTTTGTCTTGCTAGAGAGCTTTTACATATTGTTAGTGCAGATTATAAAACTATTCTTTTTTTTTTTTTTTTTTGAGATGGAGTCTCGCTCTGTCCCCCAGGCTGGAGTACAGTGGCAGGATCTCAGGTCACTGTAACATCCGCCTCCCTGATTCAAGCGATTCTCCTGCCTCAGCTTCCTGAGTTCCTGGGACTATAGGCGTGCACCACCATGCCCGGCTAATTTTTGTATTTTTAGTAGAGACGGGGTTTCATCATGTTGGCCATGATGGTCTTGATCTCCTGACCTCGTGATCCGCCCGCCGTGGCCTTCCAAAGTGCTAGGATTACAGGCATGGGCCACTGCGCATGGCCTAGTGAAGATTATAAAACTATTGATCCAGATACTCTATTGATTGCCATGGTAGACCTAACTCCTTACCTCCTCCCATTCTGTACCTACGTGAAGGAGAGAGATGAAGACTCTTCCAGCTTGAAAGAAAGACGTCCAGCTGGAGGATGAGGTAAAGAACAGAAAGGAAGCTGTTTTCCTCTCCAAGAAGCTCCATATAGAATGCAAACATTTCTTATTGAATCCTTGCTAGGAATATCCACAAATTCCAAATTTCTAGGTCCAAATAATCAAGTTGTTATATGGAAATAATATGTGAATTAATGGATCTTTATTTTTTTTTTTAAGTGTTGTTTGGACCAGTCCATGTGCTGGAGATTCAGAGAGAATGTTGTGAGGCAGTTGCCCTGCAGGTACTCATATTATATCAGAACTAGATGTGAAAACACAGCACTTTAGCGAAGTGATAAGGACTAAAAGAGAGGTGAGAACCTGGCCATATAGCCGCACGGAGTATGAGGTGACATTTGAGCTATTGCCCTCAGAAGACACAGAATCAGGATGAGACAGATGTACACATGCTTATAAGAGTAACAGAAAAAAAAATCCAATCGAAAAAGAAAGGTCGTAACCTACAATATGTAGCATACAATGGAGCAACATAAGTGGGAGAAAAATAATTACCTACTAGGATTCATTGTAACATTGGTTCCAATATGGTTTTGCCTCTTTAAGTGGGATTTTCGGCTACTCACTTATCTTTACTGAAGTCAGTTTCTTTATCTGTAAAATGAAAAAGATAATATAATCCTCATTAGACTGGTTTAAACATCGAGAATTTCTAGAAGGTAATTAATGTAGATTACTGATGGAGATTTAAATTCATATCTATTGATATGTGTGCATACACTTCCATGTCTATTTTTTTAAAAGATGATATCATTGATGGTGACCCAATGCATTGGACTAAAGTGGCAACAGTCAATGTTCTTTTTTGAGGACCACCACATTCACAGACTCTCTTGCCATGCAGAAACAAGTATAGATTTTTCAGATCTTTGTGCAAGACTCATGATTTACTGAGAATTCATCTTCAAATGAAGCTTTTCTTTCAAGCCACTGCTTGTTAAGGCAGACTTTAAACATGTGCTCTGGATCAAAGTGTGGCCAATGTTAGCCACTACAGTAAGAATTAAGCTCTGCTCTCCTTTTGTTTCACATAACAAGCTATATTAACTGCTACAGAAAAATCAGGAATCCCCAAGTTCTGATTGGCTATTTTGTTACTTCCTTGTCTGTTTATGCTCATAAGCCATCTATCAACTTGAATTGTGTAGGCACTTGCCATTGTGCCTATAGTCATGAATTGTTCACTTGTTTAGACTTACTGAGAATTCAACTTTAGGGTCATTCAATTCCTGACCTCTCTGTACAGTATCACATCTAGGGCCCAGTTGAGATGAAGCAGCAACAAATGAAGCATTTTAAATGACACAGCATAAGCCACAATTATCAAAATGAGTCCAATGTAAGTCATGCTTATGGATGTTATTCTAGTCCTGCAAATAACAGTAGTGGCTTCACTTCAAAAACCCAAAGGCAAAAGCTATGTAAACATGAAATTAATTCTTACACATTTTTCTCCTTTGTTATTCAGAAGCTGGCAGAGGCCATATGCATGGACTTTCCTGGAATAAGACAGTTGGATTTGCCTCAATGTGGAATACTATTTTAGAATCTTAAAGCAGAAATATTAAACCAATGTTTTTTTCTATAAATGTTCTTCAGTAACCGTACATAGTTACGATGGTGACTAAGACAACTCCATAAGGCCAGCAGTATTCTTTTTCATTAAACTAATCAACTTTTTTGATAAATTGTAGTATAAAAGCTAAAAGACTTGAGAAGGTAAACATGAAATAAAGTAATATGAAATTTAACATCACAGTCAACATGCTCTTTCCCCCTTTCCTTTATGTAATATTTAATTTTTTAAATGCACTCCTAATTAGAAAAAATTAATTGGAAACATTACTTTCAATAATTATTCAATGTGTACTTTTAAAGTATGCTACTCTATTCTAAAAACAATTTGGGATAGCTTACAAAATAATGTACAACCTAACAGAGTTAAGAAATAAAGATATCAGGAAAAGGGAAAAATAGTGGTAGAAGAATTAAATGAACCAAAAGGCAAGGTTATTAATGAAAACATACTTACACATTTCTGTATATTTGCCTGTGAGCTACCTATAGACCAAAGCAAAGAATAAAACATGATTAGTTGCAAAGTTCACAGATTCCTTGGGCTTAAATGGGACAATTGATCTAGAGAGTATCTTTTCTCAGTGCTGAGGCTATAAATATGACACTGAGCAAAGTACAGGTTTTAAGTATAATACATTTCTATAACAAGTAGGGCACATTAAAAATGTTATAGATTCATCAAGAGATAAATCTATAGTCCCCAGTCTGCCAAAACATAATGAATTAAAAATAGTTCTATGGGTATGTAAAAAAGAGTAGTTAGATTCATGATGATCCATCGTAAACAAAAGATGAAATCTCTAGAACACGGTATGGTGAGGGGAGTAGCAGGAGGTGGTTTTGCTCTCTTTAGGGAGTGGTATTTTTATAGTAAAATTATATTTCAAACAAAACCTTGCAAGGGCTTTTTGTTTTCTGTAGCAAACAGATCTTAACTAACATAATTATGAAGGCAAAAATTATATTTTAGTAGTGATGTTGTGATAATAATTTAATTATGTATTGTAACTACATTTAGTGGCAAGGCATGATAACAATAACTTTTTATTTATTTATTTATTTATTTATTTATTTTTATTTTATTTTATTATTATTATACTTTAAGTTTTAAGGTACATGTGCACAATGTGCAGGTTTGTTACATATGTATACATGTGCCATGTTGGTGTGCTGCACCTATTAACTCGTCATTTAGCATTAGGTATATCTCCTAATGCTATCTCTACCCTCTTCCCCCACCCCACAACAGTCCCCAGAGTGTGATGTTCCCCTTCCTGTGTCCACGTGTTCTCATTGTTCAATTCCCACCTAAGAGTGAGAACATGCAGTGTTTGTTTTTTTGTCCTTGTGATAGTTTGCTGAGAATGATGGTTTCCAGTTTCATCCATGTCCCTACAAAGGACATGAACTCTTCATTTGTATGGCTGCATAGTATTCCATGGTGTATATGTGCCACATTTTCTTAATCCAGTCTATCATTGTTGGACATTTGGGTTGGTTCCAAGTCTTTGCTATTGTGAATAATGCCGCAATAAACATACGTGTGCATGTGTCTTTATAGCAGCATGATTTATAATCCTTTGGGTATATACCCAGTAATGGGATGGCTGGGTCAAATGGTATTTCTAGTTCTAGATCCCTGAGGAATCGCCACACTGACTTCCACAATGGTTGAACTAGTTTACAGTCCCACCAACAGTGTAAAAGTGTTCCTATTTCCCCACATCCTCTCCAGCAACTGTTGATTCCTGACTTTTTAATGATCGCCATTCTAACTGGTGTGAGATGGTATCTCATTGTGGTTTTGATTTGCATTTCTCTGATGGCCAGTGATGATGAGCATTTTTTCATGTGTTTTTTGGCTGCATAAATGTCTTCTTTTGAGAAGTGTCTGTTCATATCCTTTGCCCACTTTTTGATGGGGTTGTTTGTTTTTTTCTTGTAAATTTTTTTGAGTTCATTGTAGATTCTGGATATTAGCCCTTTGTCAGATGAGTAGGTTGCGAAAATTTTCTCCCATTTTGTAGGTTGCCTGTTCACTCTGATGATAGTTTCTTTTGCTGTGCAGAAGCTCTTGAGTTTAATTAGATCCCATTTGTCAATTTTGTCTTTTGTTGCCATTGCTTTTGGTGTTTTAGACATGAAGTCCTTGCCCATGCCTATGTCCTGAGTGGTAATGCCTAGGTTTTCTTCTAGAGTTTTTATGGTTTTAGGTCTAACATGTAAGTCTTTAATCCATCTTGACTTAATTTTTGTATAAGGTGTAAGGAAGGGATCCAGTTTCAGCTTTGTACATATGGCTAGCCAGTTTTCCCAGCACCATTTATTAAATAGGGAATCCTTTCCCCATTGTTTGTTTATGACAGGTTTGTCAAAGATCAGATGGTTGTAGATATGCAGCATTATTTATGAGGGCTCTGTTGTGTTCCATTGATCTATAGCTCTGTTTTGGTACCAGTAACATGCTGTTTTGGTTACTGTAGCTTTGTAGTGTAGTTTGAAGTCAGGTAGCATGATGCCTCCAGCTTTGTTCTTTTGGCTTCGGATTGACTTGGCGATGCAGGCTCTTTTTTGGTTCCATATGAACTTTAAAGTAATTTTTTTCCAATTCTGTGAAGAAAGTCATTGGTAGCTTGATGGGGATGGCATTGAATCTACAAATTTTCTTGGGCAGTATGGCCATTTTCATGATATCGATTCTTCCTACCCATGAGCATGGAATGTTCTTCCATTTGTTTGTATCCTCTTTTATTTCCTTGAGCAGTGGTTTGTAGTTCTCCTTGAAGAGGTCCTTCACATCCCTTGTAAGTTGGATTCCTAGGTATTTTATTCTCTTTGAAGCAATTGTGAATGGGATTTCACTCATGATTTGGCTCTCTGTTTGTCTGTTGTTGGTGTATAAGAATGCTTGTGATTTTTGAACATTGATTTTGTATCCTGAGACTTTGCTGAAGTTGCTTATCAGCTTAAGGAGATTTTGGGCTGAGATGATGGGGTTTTCTAGATATACAATCATGTCATCTGCAAACAGGGACAATTTGACTTCCTCTTTTCCTAATTGAATACCCTTTATTTCCTTCTCCTCCCCTATTTCCCTGGCCAGAACTTCCAACACTATGTTGAATAGGAGTGGTGAGAGAGGGCATCCCTGTCTTGTGCCACTTTTCAAAGGGAATGCTTCCAGTTTTTACCCATTCAGTATGATATTGGCTGTGGGTTTGTCATAGATAGCTCTTATTATTTTGAGATATGTCCCATCAATACATAATTTATTGGGAGTTTTTAGCATGAAGCGTTGTTGAATTTTGTCAAAGGCCTTTTCTGCATCTATTGAGATAATCATGTGGTTTTTGTCTGCTTCTGTTTATGTGCTGGATTACATTTATTGATTTGCATATGTTGAACCAGCCTTGCATCACAGGGATGAAGCCCACTTGATCATGGTGGATAAGCTTTTTTGATGTGCTGCTGGATTTGGTTTGCCAGTATTTTATTGAGGATTTTTGCATCAATGTTCATCAAGGATATTGGTCTAAAATTCTCTTTTTTGGTTGTGTCTCTGCCAGCCTTCGGTATCATGTTGATGCTGGCCTCATAAAATGAGTTAGGGAGGATTCCCTCTTTTTCTACTGATTGGAATAGTTTCAGAAGGAATGGTACCAGCTCCTCCTTGTACCTCTGGTAGAATTCGGCTGTGAATCCATCTGGTCCTGGACTTTTTTTGGTTGGTAGGCTGTTGATTATTGCCACAATTTCAGAGCCTGTTATTGGTCTATTCAGAGATTCAACTTCTTCCTGGTTTAGTCTTGGGAGGGTGTATGTGTCGAGGAATTTATCCATTTCTTCTAGATTTTCTAGTTTATTTGCATAGAGGTGTTTGTAGTATTCTCTGATGGTAGATTGTATTTCTGTGGGATTGGTGGTGATATCCCCTTTATCAGTTTTTATTGCATCTATTTGATTCTTCTCTCTTTTCTTCTTTATTAGTCTTGCTAGCGGTCTGTCAATTTTGTTGATCTTTTCAAAAAACCAGCTCCTGGATTCATTAATTTTTGAAGGGTTTTTTGTGTCTCTATTTCCTTCAGTTCTGCTCTGATTTTAATTATTTCTTGCCTTCTGCTAGCTTTTGAATATGTTTGCTCTTGCTTTTCTAGTTGTTTTAACTGTGATGTTAGGGTGTCAATTTTGGATCTTTCTTGCTTTTTCTTGTGGGCATTTAGTGCTATAAATTTCCCTCTACACACTGCTTTGAATGCATCCCAGAGATTCTAGTATGTTGTGTCTTTGTTCTCATTGGTTTCAAAGAACATCTTTATTTTTGCCTTCATTTCGTTATGTACCCAGTAGTCATTCAGGAGCAGGTTGTTCAGTTTCCATGTAGTTGAGTGGTTTTGAGTGAGTTTCTTAATGCTGAGTTCTAGTTTGATTGCACTGTGGTCTGAGAGACAGTTTGTTATAATTTCTGTTCTTTTACATTTGCTGAGGAGTGCTTTACTTCCAACTATGTGGTCAATTTTGGAATAGGTGTGGTGTGGTGCTGAAAAAAATGTATATTCTGTTGACTTGGGGTGGAGAGTTCTGCAGATGTCTATTAGGTCCACTTGGTGCAGAGCTGAGTTTAATTCCTCGGTATCTTTATTAACTTTCTGTCTCGTTGATCTGTCTAATGTTGACAGTGGGGTGTTAAAGTCTCCCATTATTATTGTCTCAGAGTCTAAGTCTCTTTGTAGGTCATTAAGGACTTGCTTTATGAATCTGGGTGCTGCTGTATTGGGTGCATATAGATTTAGGATAGCTAGCTCTTATTGTTGAATTGATCCTTTTACCATTATGTAATGGCCTTCTTTGTCTCTTTTGATCTTTGTTGGTTTAAAGTCTGTTTTATCAGAGACTAGGATTGCAACCCCTGCCTTTTTTTGTTTTCCATTTGCTTGGTAGATCTTCCTCCATCCCTTTATTTTGAGCCTATGTGTGTCTCTGCATGTGAGATGGGTTTCCTGAATACAGCACACTGATGGGTCTTGACTCTTTATCCAATTTGCCAGTCTGTGTCTTTTAATTGAAGCATTTAGCCCATTTACATTTAAAGTTAATATTGTTATGTGTGAATTTGATCCTGTCATTAAGATGTTAGCTGGTTATTTTGCTCGTTAGTTGATGCAGTTTCTTCCTAGCCTTGATGGTCTTTACATTTTGGCATGTTTTTGCAGTGGCTGGTACCAGTTTTTCCTTTCCATGTTTAGCGCTTCCTTCAGGAGCTCTTTTAGGGCAGGCCTGGTGGTGACAAAATCGGTCAGCATTTGCTTATCTGTAAAGTATTTTATTTCTCCTTCACTTATGAAGCTTAGTTTGGCTGGATATGAAATTCTGGGTTGAAAATTCTTTTCTTTAAGAATGTTGAATATTGGCCCCCACTCTCTTCTGGCTTGCAGAGTTTCTGCCGAGAGATCGGCTGTTAGTCTGATGGGCTTCCCTTTGTGGGTAACCCGACCTTTCTCTCTGGCTGCCCTTAACATTTTTTCCTTCATTTCAACTTTGGTGAATCTGACAATTATGTGTCTTGAAGTTGCTCTTCTCGAGAAGTATCTTTGTGGTGTTCTCTGTATTTCCTGAATCTGAGTGTTGGCCTGCCTTGCTAGATTGGGGAAGTTCTCCTGGATAATATCCTGCAGAGTGTTTTCCAACTTGGTTCCGTTCTCCCCGTCACTTTCAGGTACACCAATCAGACATAGATTTGGTCTTTTCACATAGTCCCATATTTCTTGGAGGCTTTGTTCATTTCTTTTTATTCTTTTTTCTCTAAACTGCCCTTCTTACTTCATTTCATTCATTTCGTCTTCCATCACTGATACCCTTTCTTCCAGTTGCTCGCATCGGCTCCTGAGGCTTCTGCATTCTTCACGTAGTTCTTGAGCCTTGGCTTTCAGCTCCATCAGCTCCTTTAAGGACTTCTCTGTATTGGTTATTCTAGTTATCCATTCATCTAATTTTTTTTTCAAAGTTTTTAACTTCTTTGCCATGGGTTTGAATTTCCTCTTGTAGCTTGGAGTAGTTTGATCATCTGAAGCCTTCTTCTCTCAACTCATCAAAGTCATTCTCCATCCAGCTTTGTTCCATCGCTGGTGAGAAGCTGTGTTCCTTTGGAGGAGGAGAGGTGCTCTGCTTTTTAGTTTCCGGTTTTTCTTCTTTGTTTTTTCCCCATCTTTGTGGTTTTATCTACTTTTGGTCTTTGATGATGGTGACGTACAGATGGGTTTTTGGTGTGGATGTCCTTTCTGTTTGTTAGTTTTCCTTCTAACAGACTGGACCCTCAGCTGCAGGTCTGTTGGAGTTTGCTAGAGGTCCACTCCAGACCCTGTTTGCCTGGGTATCAGCAGCGGTGGCTGCAGAACAGTGGTGGATGTAGAACAGCGGATATTAGTGATCCACAAATGCTGCTGCCTGATCATTCCTCTGGAAGTTTTGTCTCAGAGGAGTACCCGGCCGTGTGATGTGTCAGTCTGCCCCTACTGGGGGATGCCTCCCAGTTAGGCTGCTTGGGGGTCAGGGACCCACTTGAGGAGGCAGTCTGCCCGTTCTCAGATCTCCAGCTGCGTGCTGGGAGAACCACTACTCTCTTCAAAGCTGTCAGACAGGGACATTTAAGTCTGCAGAGGTTACTGCTGTCTTTTTGTTTGTCTGTGCCCTGCCCCCAGAGATGGAGCCTATAGAGGCAGGCAGGCCTCCTTGAGCTGTGGTGGGCTCCACCCAGTTCGAGCTTCCCGGCTGCTTTGTTTACCTAATCAAGCCTGGGCAATGGCAGGCACCTCTCCCCCAGCCTCGCTGTCACCTTGCAGTTTGATCTCAGTCTGCTGTGCTAGCAATCAGCGAGACTCCGTGGGCGTAGGACCCTCTGAGCCAGGTGCGGGATAGAATCTCCTGGTGTGCCGTTTTTTAAGCCCATTGGAAAAGTGCAGTATTAGGGTGAGAGTGACCTGATTTTCTAGGTGCCGTGTGTCACTCCTTTCTTTGACTAGGAAAGGGAACTCCCTGACCCCTTGCACTTTTTGAGTGAGGCAATGCCTCGCCCTGCTTCGGCTCGCGCCGGGTGCACTGCATCCACTGTCCTGCACCCACTGTCTGGCACTCCCTAGTGAGATGAACCCAGTACCTCAGATGGAAATGCAGAAATCACCCGTCTTCTATGTCGCTCACACTGGGAGCTGTAGACCAGAGCTCTTCCTATTCGGCCATCTTGGCTCCACCCCCCCGCCCCCTTTTTTTTTTTTTTTGAGACGGAGTCTCGCTCTGTCGCCCAGGCTGAAATGCAGGGGCATGATCTCGGCTCACTGCAACCTCCGCCTCCCAGGTTCAAGTCATTCTCTTGCCTCAGCCTCCCGAGTAGCTGGGACTACAGGTGTGTGCCACCATGCCTGGCTAATTTTTTGTATTGTTAGTAGAGATGGGGTTTCACCATGTTAGCCAGGATGGTCTCGATCTCCTGACCTCGTGATCTGCCCACCTCGGTCTCCCAAAATGCTGGGATTACAGGCCTGAGCCACTGCGCCCGGCCCAACAGTGACTTTTTCAATTAAAACAAAAGACTTATTGTCAACAAATTATTTTTAAAATAATTTATGGATAGATTTTTTTCTTTAAACATAATTTATTTTGTACTTTCCCATTTTCAGTTTCTATCTCTAACCATTTGTTATGTCTAGTGATGTAAGTGTGGTTTAAAAAAAATGTGATGGAATAATAATTTTTCAATATTATATTTCATTCAATATATTCTTCTTTGCCTTCCCCCTTGCCCACCTCATTTAATTTTATTGTTCCTTTAGGATTTATTCCCTCAGGGAGGGAAAACAACAGACCAGAAAGCAGAAATAATTTTGAATTCACTCTTTAAATTTTCCAACATTTAAAAGAATTATTTTATTCCCTCAGGCAAATAAAACAAATCAAAACAAGAAAATAAACAAACTGAACAATGAAAAAACTAAACAATACTCAGTAAAGAGGGGAGTGCCTCTAAGGGAAAAGTAGAAGGTCAATGGAGGAAAAAAATTATTCTGATGTATGGTATACATTGCAAATATTATATATAATAGAGAGAGTGAAGTAGGCACAAACTGCATACTTTAACCCAGGGGTCCCCAACCCCTGGGCCATGGACAGGTGTTGGTCCATGGTCTGTTGGAACTGAGCCGCACAGCAGTAGGTGAGTGGCAGGCAAGCCAGCAAAGCTTCTTCTGTATTTACAGGTGCTCCTTATCACTTGCATTACCGCCTGAGCTCCACCTCTTATCACATCAGTGGCGACATTAGATTCTCATAGGAGCATGAACCATATTGTCAACTGCACATGTGAAGGATCTAGGCTGCACACTTCTTATGAAAATCTAATACCTGATGATCTGTCACTGTCTTCTATAACCCCCAGATGGGACTGTCTAGTACAGCTCAGGGCTGCCACTCATTCTACATTATGGTGAGCTGTATAATTATTTCATTATTTATTACAGTGTAATAGTAATAGAAATAAAGTGCACAATAAATGTTATACACTTGAATCATTGAGTCATCCTCAAACAACCCTGGACCTTTCCCCAGTCCACGGAAAATTGTCTTCCACAAAACTGGTCAAAAAGGTGTCAAAAAGTTTGGGGACTGCTGCTTTAACCCCTTCTCACTTCTGTAATTTTAGGATGAAGTTATCTGACCAAACTGTTAGATATACCAGTCAAGGAAGCAGTTTCAATAACAGATAGTAAATTCTAAAAGCCAGCTCTTAGGCCTAATCAGACTATAAAGTCTATGAAACCTCTTGGCACATCATAGTTGTTAAGTTGTGGTGACAGTGGTTCTACTTAATTCAGATGACCATATAATGTATCAGATCACATAACTATCTTATTTAACTTATGAATGTGGAAAAGTGTGATTAATAATCATAATTGAACAACAAGTTAATAAGACTTTTCAAAGAAACTGATATATCTGTTCACACCAACTTTTAGCCAAAATTGGAAAGTTAAATTTGGCATCTGTAGGGCTCATATTCAGTGATAAGACCAGTTGTTTTAACATGACTTTTGATAATATTTTTCAAATTGGAAATCAATTCTGGATGAATAACTTCCTTCTAAATGTGACTTCAAATTATTTGTGGATTTAACTTTCCTTGTGGGAACAAATAATGTGTAACACCATAAACATGTAGTATTAAAATCTATTCCCAACAATTTAAGACAGTATCATTCTAAAAACTTGAGAGAATTTGCTTTAGGGAGTTTGCTTTTTCTTTCAAAGGCAAAATGGAATTTTTAAAAAATCTCTAACACAGCGTAGAAAATAAGAAGGCAAAATCCAAAGAACAGTTTTATGAAGAGAATGTGGATGTCAACTTATCCTGTGTTTACCATTTAAACTTTAAATATAGTGCCAACATTTTTTGTGTGGCAAGGGGACAGTCTCAGTCTGTCACCCAGGCTGGAGTGCAATGGCATGATCTCAGCTCACTGCAACCTTCTCCAGTGGGATCTTGGCTCACTGCAATCAGGTTCAAGTGATTCTCATGCCTCAGCCTCCTGAGTAACTGGGATTACAGGAGCATGCCACCACACCCAGATAATTTTTGTGGTTTTACTAGAGATGCAGTTTCACTATGTTGGTCAGGCTGGTCTGAACTCCTGACCTAAAGTGATCCACCCACCTTGGCCTCCCAGAGTGTTGGGATTACAAGTGAGAGCCACCTCGCCAGGCCTGAATATAGTGTCAACTTTATGAAGGTTTTTACTATCAGGATATGTTGTATATTCTAAATCCAGAGTTTAGGGTATAGTTTTAATGAATTTTTAAGAAGTGAATTATTTCACTCTTAAGATGCTCAAATTGGCCTTCATAATATACGAGTTAAGGTATTAAAACACTTTTTCTTGTAGTGATTTTCCTTGAGGACAATGTAGAAAAGACAATTATGATTATCATAATCTCATCAAAGATAATTCTCTTTTCTCTGTAATTATGTATAACATAATATGCAATATATAATGTGTAATTATATAGATATGTAATATGAACTTATATGTAATGTATGACATTATGTATAATCTATATTATAAACTAAATATGTATATAAAATAAATATTAGTCTATATTATAATCTGATTTGTTCATGAACAAAGTTTCCCTTTAAGTTTTTCATTTTTTTTTTTTTTTGAAATGGAGTCTCACTCTGTTGCCCAGGCTGGAATGCAGTGATACAACCTCCGTTCACTGCAACATCTGCCTCCCGGGTTCAAGCAGTTCCCTGCCTCAGCCTCCCAAGTAGCTGGGATTACAGGCACGTGCCTCCACGCCCGGCTAATTTTTGTATTTTTAGTATAGACAGGGTTTCACTATATTGTCCAGGCTGGTCTTGAACTCTGGACTTTGTGATTCACCCCTCAGCCTCCCAAAGTGCTGGGATTACAGGTGTGAGCCACCGCAACTGGTAAGTATTTCATCATTTTAAATGTCTGTTTAATGTTGCATGTAGTTCTACAGGAAGACATTTTGTTTGATTAACCCAGCTTTCTTTAAACTTTATTTTGTTGAAAATTTTTTGTTTCATGGAACTCCTTTTAATGTTCTACAGAATTAGTATTTAGTTGGAATACACACTGGGTAATGCCGATGTTAAAACTCTGCAGTTAAACACTTAGAAGGTTTTCTAAGATCTTTAATTAACCAAGGTTTACATTTTATGGTATTTAAAATAGCAAAAACAGATAATTAATAATGTTATAGTCCTGAGTAATCATTTACTAGGGTATATTAAAATCTAGACATGTAATAGTGGACAAATTGGTTTTTAAGTTATTTTCTATTATAATAGTCTGTAATTTGTCTTGGTCCTCGATGCTGCAAATGAAAATAATTGTTTTAAAGGATCATAGTCTCCTTAAGGATTAAATGTTGAGACAGATTTATTTACTGGGAGATTCAGAATTTTAATCACTTTTTGATAGGTAAAAAATCAAATTGTATAATTTGTGAGTAATTGTTATTAAATTATGATTGAAATATTATTATTTGCCCAGACTCTAAGTTTGCCTAAAATACACAACCATGGAACAATTTAGAGTTTGATATTGTTGTAAATATGTATTTATTTTTTTCTACTTCAAAATCAGTTAAGTTATTTTGGAAATTACAAATAGCTCTAAAATGAATTTACTTTGAAATCTGAGATTTTTCCATATGTCTTGTATGTAAAATAGAGGCGCTCCCTGGGTAATTAAGGTAAACTATTTTTTTTGAAGCCATAACGATTGAAAAAAATACTTTTGAGAGGCTTCAGGAAATTTGGCACTGCACATTTGGAAGTGTGTGTGTATTTCCATGACCGTAATATTGTAAATACTTTTGTAGATTGTTGTATGTGTGAATTCGTTTACTTTTATGATTTTAGATTGGTTGAAAATAAGACAGATATTTGGATCTTTTTTTCCTTTACTTTTTATTTTTTTAGAACAAAATTGGCTTTTAAAACAAAAGCCAATGTAAATGATGAGGTTGAAAAATATTTTGACTATATAAATACCGTGGACAGCAGTGTAATTTTTCATGCTTTTTGAAGATCTAGTAACATTTCATGGCTATCTAGTTTTTCAATGTTATTTAGGTTCTCAAATGAGTCATTTAAAGGATTACATTTCCTGTTATGACAGTTTTGATCTTACATTCCTTAGTTTGTTCTGTTTAAATGTATAACCTCTGTATTGCACTGTTTTATTTATATGGTCAAAACTATGTCAGGGTTATCTGATATTGATGCTCTAATTGTATAAACTACATTTGCTCTTTACAAATTATTTCGTTTAACTAAATTTTCCCTATATCCAAGTAGATAAATATTATTTCCTCTCCGCCCATATATTCTTCTTGGTTATGCTCCCATTCAAAGAAACTAATCAACTTGCACACTTTTTTCATAGAAATCTTCACTTCCCTCAGTAATATATAGGTACTTCTAGGTTGAGAGGAAATAACTGTTCAAAAGTGAAAAGCTATAGCTCTACAAGATCAATTTCTGTTTTTTTCCAGATCACATGACTTTTGCATGGAAGTCACATTTTCATTATCTTTTTTCCCCTATTAAACTCATGTAGAATTCCATTTCAGCCTCATGTTTCTTAAATGGAATGAGCAGGTAGGGTTATATTAGCAATCTGCAGACTTGCACATATGACTTGTAGGTAATATTTCTAAAAAAATGAAAAAATTCTGCTCCATAGAGGGCTTTACAGAAGTATTAGTGTTCACATCACAACTACTTCCTTCCCCAAAAATGTTGTTATAACTTTATATTGTTCCAAGAACCTTGTTTTAAGTGTGAGTGCTATGCACAAAATAATCCAATGTATGACATTTAAAATATTATTTATGACATTTTTGTTACTTAGAAGTGAGAGATTTGAAAAGGACGTTCCTATATCATATATCTTCTTCCCCTGTGCCCCTTCTTGTGTCCCTTTGAGCAAATCTCCATATGTAATGTTAGTCACAGTATTTGATAGTAGTCAGTCAATTGAATAGAAATAATTTCCTACCTTATATATTCAGAAGAATACTTAATAATTAATGTTTTAGATATTTTCTCTATCCAAATACCAGATGGTAGTGGAAGACAGTGTTGCTATGTTGTGAAAATTACATAGTGCTGGAAGCAAAAAGTCTTATTCTAAAATCCTGGCTGTATTACTTATTTACCATGTGATCTTAAGCAAGTGCTGAACCTCTTAAGCATATTTTTTCTCATCTAAAATAAACTTAAAATATGGCATTGGAAGTCTTCAGTAAATAGAGAGCAACTGAATACCTATTTCATGTTTTTTTGGGGGAATATTAAATGTTTTAATGCATATGAAATACAAATTAGAATTATGGTGAAATAGCAAGTACTTTTAATATGGTAGCCATTAATTAACAGCATTTCTCTATTGCTTGAAATCTTCAAAGTATATCCAAAATATAAATATAAATTTATTTTTTAGAGTTGATTCATCCCATGTTGGTAATTATCAAATTATGCACTAAGAGAATACTGATATTTCTTGACCTGAGTTGAATGCAAATTGAATAACAAAAGTCTTACCTCAATTTGCAAAAAACATAAAAGCCTTAGAATTTCTCTATTATTCTTTCGTGCACATTTCACTATCAAACCTATTCTATCAATTAGTGCTAAATTGTTAGCAATATCTAGCAGAGGAGTAAAAGAATGAAAAAGCAGTAAATCTAATAGAAAAATTGCAGAACATTTGAACATTCTTAGTTACAGATTTTTCTTCTGTTTCGACATAGTTTCTTTAATTTTATATTCACAATTATAGCGAACATATTTTACTCCTAGTTCATTCCACAGGGTTATGCACATTTCATATGTTCTTCTATTCAGCACCTAAAACAAAACAATATCTGGAATATAGTGGGTACTCAATATATATCCATTGAATGAATAAATAAGTGGCTAAATGGTTTTGAGAACTATACTCTCCTAATATTTGTGTGCCTGCCTGAGATGCAATGTAAAATGGTAAGAAAAGTTAGCAGATGTACTGTAATGACAGATGGGGAGACCTACCCTTATAGTTCACTAGCTGCAAATATTCTGCTTTTCCTACAAGCGAAATGTAAAGCAGAGCCTTTAAGAAGTTGAGTTTGAGAATCATTGAGAATGAGATTAATATCTAGCCTTGCTTGCCCTGGCTGAATGGGGTTAATATTACCATTTAATAGAATCTGAAGAGTAAATGAGTTAATTTATTCCAAGTTACCTACACTGGTATTAGCATAAATTAAGAACCCTTAATAGCAGCCATTATTACTATTGTTATTGTTCATTAAACATTATAGACCCATCTGATTAGCTTTGTGTATTTATTAGTTAACCACAGATATTTTCCTCAATAAAAATATGACATACTAAAATAAAAGTCTAAATTGTGACAGTAAAGTGAAATTATCAACATATGTAACAACATCCACTGGACAGTGGGCCTGAAATCCATGACTTCCATAATGCTTGTGATGCTGTCGCAAATGAACTTGTGCTTTGAGTTGCAGAGTTATGACATCTTCTGGAATGCGGTTCTAACATTCAGAGTGGCAGAGCTGTTTGAATTATTTCATGTCTCTTCTCAATCATCTTGTTAGTTCAGTATTTTCTTTCTTTCATTTTGACACACATCTGATATAAGTAAATAAAAGTTGAAACAAAATAGCTAAGTTTTCATACTTCCAAGCTTCTAGATTTTATCCAGGTTAGGAAATGAAATTATGGACACACTACAACGAAATCCTACTATTCTGCTTGCTATCTCACACAGCATCAGATGGTAACTGTACATAGCATTTCTTACTTAAAGTAAAGGTAACATAGGTCCTGCTACTGAGAATGTTCCATTTGCAAACTGATAATGAATACTGCATTCATGAGAAAATGAAAAAGGGAATCTAGGGGTTTCAACAAGTCAGTAACACGTATGTCACTCAAAAGTATTTAAGACTGTTACTAGTGAGTGACAACATGACCCTTTTGGAAGGAAAAGTAGACATGAAATGGAAGAAAAATGAAGTATGTACGTGTTGAGTTTTTTTTTTTTAATTATACTTTAAGTTTTAGGGTACATATGCACAACGTGCAGGTTTGTTACATATGTATACATGTGCCATTTTGGTGTGCTGCACCCATTAACTCGTCATTTAGCATTAGGTATATCTCCTAATGCTATCCCTCCCCCCACCCCCACCCCAAAACAGGACCCGGTGTGTGATGTTCCCCTTCCTGTGTCCAACTATTCTCATTGTCCAATTCCCACCTATGACTGAGAACATGCGGTGTTTGGTTTTTTGTCCTTGCGATAGTTTGCTGAGAATGTTGGTTTCCAGCTTCATCCATGTCCCTACAAAGGACATGAACTCATCATTTTTCATGGCTGCATAGTATTCCATGGTGTATATGTGCCACATTTTCTTAATCCAGTCTATCATTGTTGGACATTTGGGTTGGTTCCAAGTCTTTGCTATTGTGAATAGTGCCGCAATAAACATACGTGTGCATGTGTCTTTATAGCAGCATGATTTATAATCCTTTGGGTATATACCCAGTAATGAGATGACTGGGTTGAATGGTATTTCTAGTTCTAGATCCCTGAGGAATCGCCACACTGACTTTCACAATGGTTGAACTAGTTTACAGTCCCACCAACAGTGTAAAAGTATTCCTATTTCTCCACATCCTCTCCAGCACCTGTTATTTCCTGACTTTTTAATGATTGCATTCTAACTGGTGTGCGGGTTTGGTTTGCATTTCTCTCATGGCTGGTGATGATGAGCATTTTTTCATGGGTCTTTTGGCTGCATAAATGTCTTCTTTTGAGAAGTGTCTGTTCATGTCCTTTGCCCACTTGTCAATGGGGTTGTTTTTTTCTTGTAAATTTGTTTGAGTTCATTGTAGATTCTGGATGTTAGCTCTTTGTCAGATGAGTAGATTGCAAAAATTTTCTCCCATTCTGTAGGTTGCCTGTTCACTCTGATGGTAGTTTCTTTTGCTGTGCAGAAGCTCTTTAGTTTAATTAGATCCCATTTGTCAATTTTGGTTTTGTTGCCATTGCTTTTGGTGTTTTAGACATGAAGTCCTTGCCCATGCCTATGTCCTGAATGGTATTGCCTAGGTTTTCTTCTAGGATTTTTATGGTTTTAGGTCTAAAAATTAAGTCTTTAATCCATCTTGAATTAATTTTTGTACAAGGCATAAGGAAGGGATCCAGTTTCAGCTTTGTACATATGGCTAGCCAGTTTTCCCAGCACCATTTATTAAATAGGGAATCCTTTCCCCGTTGCTTGTTTTTGTCAGGTTTGTCAAAGATCAGATAGTTATAGATGTGTGGTATTATTTCTGAGGTCTCTGTTCTGTTCCATTGGTCTATATCTCTGTTCTGATACCAGTACCATGCTGTTTTGGTTACTGTAGCCTTGTAGCATAGTTTGAAGTCGGGTAGGGTGATGCCTCCAGCTTTGTTCTTTTGGCTTAGGATTGCCTTGGCGATGCAGGCTCTTTTTTGGTTCCATATGAACTTTTAAGTAGTTTTTTCCAATTCTGTGAAGAAAGTCATTGGTAGCTTGATGGGGATGGCATTGAATCTATAAATTACCTTGGGCAGTATGGCCATTTTCATGATATTGATTCTTCCTACCCATGAGCATGGAATGTTCTTCCATTTGTTTGTATCCTCTTTTATTTCATTGAGCAGTGTTTTGTAGTTCTCCTTGAGGAGGTCCTTCACATCCCTTGTAAGTTGGATTCCTAGGTATTTTATTCTCTTTGAAGCAATTGTGAATGAGAGTTCACTCATGATTTGGCTCTCTGTTTGTCTGTTATTGATGTATAAGAATGCTCATGATTTTTGCACATTGATTTTATATGCTGAGACTTTGCTGAAGTTGCTTATCAGCTTAAGGAGATTTGGGGCTGAGACGATGGGGTTTTCAAGATATACAATCATGTCATCTGCAAACAGGGACAATTTGACTTCCTCTTTTCCTAATTGAATACCCTTTATTTCCTTCTCCTGCCTGATTGCCCTGGCCAGACCAAATAGCTTGAAATCCCCTTCCAAAAACTCTATGTTGAGACTTCACATTTCCGATTTGTCCTTCTTCCTTCAGGATAAATAATAGCTGCTAAAAAAATACATGCAGCATCTCTCTAACTTCTGCCCTGACAGTGTGGGATAATTCACCTCCCCAGCATTCAGTGCCTCCTGCATTCACATGTGGTTTAGCTGATGTAAGGTATGATCTCCAACTCTATATAAATGGGGAGCTTCCCATGAATGTAGTGGAAAGAGCACTGGACTTGGGGCCAGCTCTAAATGTTGGTGATATTTCCATGGCTAAAGTCTTGTGAAATCTTAAGTAAATAATTTAATCTCTCTGAGAATTTTTTCGTACTATACCAACACATAATAATAAAAATAATGCCTACCATCATCACCTTAATTCAGTTTCTCTCTCGTTTTCTCATAATTAGATAGCTACAATTGTTATGCCTCCTATACTCAAACTCATTTTATACCCTACTGCCAGAACAATTCTGATTAAGTCACTCTTTCATTTAAAATCCTTTAGTAGTACCCCAAAGCTTCAGGATCAATCCAATCTCCTCCATGCATCTTTAGATGGCCTTTAGGACCTGGGCACTGTGATCACATTTTCTGCCACTTTTTGAGTGCCCTGTGTTCTAGGCACCCTGAATTTCTTTACAGATCCTTGATGTGCCGTGCTGTTTCATATGCCTGGATCTAGACATATGCACACTTCTCTGGCTGGAATACCATGTCTTACTTCTTCAAACTCTCCTTTGCTGAAAGGAGTTTTTGGAAGACATCTTTGATCCTCGCAATCTGGATTACTTGGCCTTCTTTTGCCTCTAGGCAAAAATATTTAACATACAGTATTTTCAGAAATTTATTCAGCTATCGTTATCTACCTCTTCATCACCTGCACCCAGAGAGCTAATTTTGCCTGGAGAAAAGTTACACAACCAGGTCTGAAAATTTCACTTTGGGTTTTTAATCAGCAGCCTGAGGTGGACTCTCAAAATTTCCTGGAAGAACGAAAGTCCAATTATGTTTCCCTAGAAAGTCCATTTTTTTGTCTCTTACGGTGAGGACTATAAATAGTCATATAAATAAACTATAAATACCTCTCCTCTTCTATCTTAATACATCTCTTGTTATTCCTCTTGCTTGCTTCATATTTCATGGAGAGCATAGAGAACCTGAGAAGAAAAATTACACCATAGTCTATTTCTCCATTTAGGCTTGAAATACACTCTCTTGTCTCATTCTCAAGTATTTTATTCTTTATACTTCCTTTTGTCATTGTCTGTTTTTTGAGTGTGTGTGTCAATCTCTCCCACCAGTCTGAAATCTTAGTGTAGAGAGGCAATTTCTTTTGTCTCTGTGTTCCTGATAAATATTAATGGATCATTAACTATATGATAGACTTAAAGTCTATTACGATTCTTTTTTTCAAGGATTCTGCAGAGGCAAGAAAGGTTGATATTTAAACAATAAATAAAATAATATATCATATAGTTCTTGTAAAGCATTGGGTCAGGGAATTCTTGTTTTTAAGTTAACATTTAAGCTGAAATCTAAGGAATTCCTGGGAGCTATCCAGGCAAAGAAGTGAAATTGTATGGGCCCAGGGGAGGAACTAACATGTACAAATGTCCAAAGGCCAAAGGGTACATGCGCTATTCAAGCAACAGAAAGAAACAACGTAATCTATACTATATGTTTCAGGAGGAACTTAATCGGGTGTTTGAGATTGTGAGGTTCCCAGGGGCTAGAGAATTTAGATACTTATCTAAGATCAATGAAAACCTATTTAAAGATTTTAAGCATGAATTAACATACTCAGAATTTATATTTGAACACTTTTTTCCCCAAAGGAATTGAATTACTTGTATGAGACTAAAAGCAAATTTGAATAGATCAAATACCAGGTTATTTCAATGGTCCAGGCCAAAGGTAATGACCCATCAATATGAAATTGGGAATCTTGAGCATATAGAGGGCAACTGAGCCCATGGAAGTAAAGAAGATATTCCGAGGAGACCATATAAAAATGACAAGAGATATAAAACCATTTCTTATGGCACACCCACAAGGGGAAAACCGAGAAAGGAGAGTATCCTATCAGGAGTCAATGTTTCTGAAACCTAGAGAAAAGTATGTTTTAAGAATAAGAGATGAATCAATAGGATCACATGGTTTCAAGATAATCCAGGAGACAACAAAAGGAGCGATTGTACATAAATGAGTGATCAAAAGACCAAGTTCTGGAACACTCCAACATTTAAAGTTCAAGGAAATAAGGAAGAATCAATACCCTTCAGGGGTATCAACTTAGTGTGCTTATTATGTACCTTTCCAATGTTGAGTTGCAGCTGAGAATGTTTATAAAGGCAAAGAAGATATGATATTCATCACCACAAGGGATTACTGAAGATGAATGGGATACTAGGTATGGAAATTACTTGCTATGATAGTTGTAGGCCTTTGTACACGTTTGATGTTATAAAGTAGATTGGTATTAGTTCACTCATTGGAGGGCACTTAATTTCCTAAGAAATAATAACAATAAATAGTGTGTGTTAAACCCTCTTTATATTTTAAATTGGACTAAACTGTCCTTAAAGTAAACTAGTATTTTTTTTAACTGAGGAGAGACTCTGAATTCTGAAAACAAATAGAATTATTTAAAATGTATATAATATTTAAATGATGTGTTTTGGTTTGATATAATAAACATGATCATTTGTTTTAGCCTTACTGAAAAATTGAATGAAAACTGTCCATATCAGATTATAAAGCTTGGTGAGATATCAGATAAGAAAACATGGTCATGACATGCATGCTTATGAATAAATACACTTGTCTAAGAGATGACTCTTCAATGATAATTCACAGTAAAATTCCCTCTATATGTAATATAAATAACTAAATAAATTCAGTGTCTCTGTTGATAATAATCACTTAATTATCATCACCTTCTCCTTTTTTCTTTAATAATTTTAACTTTTATTTTAGACACAGGGAGTACATGTGTAGGTTTGTTACATGGGTATGCTGTGTGATGCTAAGGTTTGGCATACAGATTCCATTTGCCAGGTAGTGGGCATAGTACCTAAGAGGTAGTATTTCAACCCATGTCTTCCTCCATTCCTCCCCCTAGTAGTCCACAGTTTCTATTTTCCCCATCTCTATGTTCATAAGTACCCAAAATTTAGCTCCCACTTATAAGTCAGAATATTGTGGTGTTCAGTTTTCTCTTCCTGCATTAATTTGCTTAGGATCATGGCCTCCAGCTGCATCCATGTTGCTGCAAAAGACATGATTTCATTCTTTTTAGGGCTGTGTAGTATTCCATAGTGTATATGTACCATGTTTTCTTTATTCAATCCACTGTTTATAAGCACCTGCATTGATTTAAGTCTTTGCTATTATAAATAGCACTGTGATGAACATAGAAGTATGTGTGTCTTTTTGGCAGAACATTTTTTTTTTCTTTTGGGTACATACCCAGTAGTGGGATTGCTGGGTCAAATCGCTGCTCTGTTTTAAAATCTTTGAGACATTGCCAAACTGCTTCCCAGTGTGGCTGAACTAATTTACATTCCCACCAACAATTTTTAAGTGTTCCATTTTCTCTACAACCTTGCCAGCATCTGTTATTATTTGACTTTTTAATAATACCCATTGTGACTGGTGTGAGCTGGTATCTCATTATGGTTTTGATTTGCATTTCTCTGTTGATTTGTGATGATGAGCATTTATTCACGTTTGTTGACCACATGTATGTCTTCTTTGAGAAGTGTCTTTTCATGTTATTTGCCAAGTTTTTAGTGGGATCATTTGCCTTTTGCTTGCTGATTTAAGTTCCTTATGGATTCTGGATATTAGATCTTTGTTGAATGCATAGTTTCTGATATTTTTTCCATTCTATAGGTTGTCAAATGGTTGCTTTTTACTCTGTTGATAGTTTCTTTTGCTGTCCAGAAGCTCTTTAGTTTAATTAGATCCCATGGGTCAATTTTCATTTTTGTTGCAATTGTTTTTGGGGACTTAGCAAAAAAAAATCTTTGTCAAGGCCAATGTCTAGAGAGTATTTCCTAGATTTTCATCCAAGATTTTTTAATAGTTTTAGGTTTTACATTTAAATCTTTCATTCACTTTGAGTTAATTTTCATATATGGTGAAAAGTAAGGGTCCAGTTTCGATGCTCTGCATATGGCTACTCAGTTATCTCAGCACTATTTATTGAATAGGGGGTCCTTTCCTCATTGCTTGTTTTTGTCAGCCTTGTCAGAGATCAGATGGTTGTAGGTATGTGGCTTCATTTCTGGGTTCTCAATTCTGTTCCATTGGTCTCTTTATCTGTTTTTGTACCAATACCATATTGTTTTGGTTACTGTAGCTTTAAAGTATATTTGACATCATATATGTTTGGAGAGTATAGTCCAGGATTAGGATATCTTTCTGCATGCTAACTAAATGGTGTGGCTATGTGGTCAGGCTTAGTAGAAAATGCTGCTAACCTACACATCTATGGTTTATGTATTCTTAGGCCAATGTCAACCAGATGCTCCTGAGATTCTTGAGCCAAACAAATAACATGACAAAGCAGATATACCAAAGAAGTAGAAAGACATCAGAGAGATCCTTGAGAAAAGAGTCTCAGTTTCATATGTGCTAACATTTCAACATGAACATTTCTAAAATGTATATTTCCCAGGCCATTTGGGGTCAATATGAATTCTCTGAGAATGTGGTAGATTTCAAAACCTCATACAAATGGGAGAAAAGACATTTTACCAATACATCAAATTTTTGATAGTTTTGCACAGCTTTAATTTAAGCCAGCACAATGTAACACCATGCTAATCCCACACACCCAGTATATTAGAATCAGTTAATAAAATAATTGCTTTTAAAATACATTAATATAAATGATCAATTTAGCAAACAGCTGAATGCCATATTTCTTTTTTCTTCTGTAATAAGGGTAGCTTCACCATAAGCATCTTGGTAAAACATGGGTTCTCCAATCTGCTACAAATTAATGTGAATTAGATGTTAGTAGTCATATTGCCTTTTGTCTATTCTGGGTGCATAAAACATACAATACGAAGTGAAGGTAAATAAGATGCCCTGCCGTTCTCTGTATGCTAAGGAGCTCATTCTGTTAAATAGACTGCAGTGCACCCTGGGAAATATTGGTTCTGTGCCTGCAGTTCTATTTGTTCAAGTAGCTCATCTTGAAAGCCTGCCCAACCTCAGCTATAGACTTGGAAGATACAAAGCAAGCAATTTGGATTTTCCAAATCATCAGTCCCTGCAAAGGCAGGAAGGAGTCCAGTAACAACAAAGACTCCTCTAATTCTTAAGTAACCAAGCCCCATGGGACTAGGATCATCTGAAGAAACTCAGCCTCCTCTGTAAGCTCAGTTGAGTGTGTGTGTGCGTGTGTGTGTGTGTGTGTGTGTGTGTGTGTTGTCATCTCCATAAGGGTGACTGAAAAATGCTTGCTATCATTGCCCAACATCTGTGCCTGCTGCTGCCTTTCCAACAGAAACTTCCAGATTTTGTGACACAGCTGTGGTTAAGCTGACAATTGGCATAGCAAGAATTCTCCTCCTCATTTATACCGCATAAAGCTTCCAGTACTGGCGCTAAGAGTTCAAAGGCTTTCACAAAAGTAAATCTTCACAGGCAATGCCACGATGTCTTCAAAAGGATTTAACAACAACCACAAATCTAGTCAATCTTACACGAAGGTAAGGTTCATACAAAATAAACGTAATCACAAATAAATTATATAATTTTTTTCAAAGCAATGCAAATTGAGGTAATATGCCTAGAAATATTATTTGATGGGACTTATATCTATGTTTGGTAAGGTAATAGATTTTTTAGGTAGGTACACTTTTTCCATTTCAATATATATAAATAGAAAAATTTTTACTACCATATAACAAGACTACTGAGGACATCCTTTATTTCTAGGATTTCATAAATTTGATTCAAGACTGGATTAGTAAGAAAAAAATAAATTTGTCCCCCTGTATGTTAAAACATATCAAAGGCATGTTAAATTCTTTCAAAATTGATTTTTAGAGAAGCATATTTAGGAATTTTAGGTGTGTTTCTGAGAAAACATTTTTTAAAAGTGAGAAATTGTTATTCTATATGTAGATTACATCCAGATAATTACTCAAAATTAACCCAGAGTCTATGAAAAAACAAACAACAACAACAACAACAACAAAAAAAAAACAAACACCAGGCGCTGAAAATAATTTGGCCAGCACACAAAAGCACTTAGTTAAAATAATCACTGATTTATACCAATAGCACACCTGATTTTAAAATAAACTCACAAATTAAAACCTGAAGTAAAGGCTGAAAAGTTAAATCATTACTGATAAGGAGTGTAATACAGAAGCCATGATGGTCTTCTCACCTTCAGCACTACAGGTGTGCTTACTAACCATGCTTCTTAGGTCAATTATTTTCCTGGACTCTCCATGGGTTTTAATATAGTGATAAGCATGTTAAAAACTGGAAGAATCTCTCTCTCTAAAACTCTCTGGATAACCTTAAACATCTTACGTATTTTATTTATTCTATCGTTTTTTACTCTTCCCTCATTTAAGAAATTTGTTTGCATTTGCAAATGATGAATATAAAAATTGTTGAATACATTGAGGAAATTTTTTCATAGTTGAGCTATTGGTCAGTTTCAAACATGTAAACTGACTCTGTGCAAAGCATTTTGTTATGTATGCTAGGAGAGTTTTCAAGAAAAATCAAGCTTATACCTAGCCTTCAAGCAGTGTAAAGTCTGGATGTAGTGGAAAATAATCATAGAAATTATTTACGTAGGAAAATGCATACAAAGGTTCAGAATTTTGAGGGTGGCCAATTCATGTTTTAGAAAGTTTATAGACTTTATAGTCCTAATTACCATGTCCAAATCACATTCTGTGACTGTCACCTATGTAACTGTGGGAAGGTTAGTGAACATTTATCCTTTTAACGTGGAGTGCCCCTCCTCTTGTTTTGTGTAGAAGCTCTTCCTGTGATTTATGGGTGCAGCCTTGCAATCTTCCTAAATTAGCATTCCTAGCAACTGGAATGGGCACATAACCTACTCTAGGCCAAAGAGAATAATTCCCTAATATTTTTTTCTAAATCTGATGGCTGGGCTTTTTTTCTTTTTAATAGATAAGACACTATTAGGATTATAATCATAGCCACTAAAAAACCTTGATTGCAAACAAAAAAATAACTACATAGCCAGTGTTTCAAAAGGAGGAGAAGGACACGGTCTTGACAATTTGTAGGTCTCTGGTTACATTTATTACTAAGCTAGTTTTCTTCAACTTTTCATAAAGTTTAGTAATGTGAAACAATTCAGTCACTCTTGTTTTGTTTTGTGTCAGGCTTGCTTGAGTCATGTTTTTGTCACTTCTACCCAAAAAACTCTGACTAATATAGCCAAATGACTTACAACTCCTGATTATGATAACTTCTGTTTTACTCTTAAAGTTACTACTTGAAGAAAAAAATACACACACACACACACACACACACACACACACACTTATTTTTTAACTTAAAAACTCTACTGGCTTTGGGAGGCTGAGGCAGGCGGATCACCTGAGGTCAGGAGTTTGAGACCAGCCTGGCCAACATGGTGAAACCCCATCTCTACTAAAAATAGAAAAATTAGCCAGGCGTGGCAGCAGGCACCTGTAATCCCAGCTACCCAGGAGGCTGAGGCAGGAGAATCACTTGAACTCAGGAGGTGGAGGTTGCAGTGAGCCAAGGTCATACTATTGCACTCCAGCCTGGGTGACAAGAGCAAAACTGTATCTCAAAAACAAAACAAAACAAAACAATAAAAAAACCCTCTATTAGCAGGAAAAATAAGGCAGGATGAATAACTCCCAAATAACTGCCAAGAATCAAATTCAAAAGAATAAACAGAATCCATGTAGTAAAATATAGAGGATAATGAGGAAATACACAATGTAAGGACAAAATCAGAAATTATATGTCAAGATGACATCGGTAAAACCAAATATAAACATTTTAATATAATTGTAAATCAGTAAAGTATCCAGCCAAAAAAATCTCAGTTTGGGCAAAAATTCCAAAATTCACTACAGTATTCTATTCATGCGAAAGTTATTTAGAATATGAGTTTAAGATGATTAAAATACTTGCATTTACCACCCCATCAAAGATAAAGATTTCTAATAAATAAACCAAGAAATACAAAATTTCTCCTGAAAGAAAATTCTTGTATTGCTTCTTTAAGTGGAAAAGAATACCGTTAACATGTAAGAAAGTTTCATTTCTGTAAAAAGAGATGGGATGAGAAAAGGATCAATTATATGTTTTCTGAAATGTAACGACAAATTCTTGTCGTGTGAATCTACTAGAACTCCCAGGGTGTTAGTAAACGATGCTTTTTGCACAGAGGCAGTTGGAGTCCATTCCAAGATTTTAAATAACTACTTCCATAAACCATTTTTAAAAGTTTTTGATTTTTTTCCCTAAGTAGTCCAGAAAACTAATAATTAAATCATAATTAATAATGAGGAATATCACAGAGTCTCAATTGAGTAGTACCACAGCCAGCTCACAGCGATTCCCCTTCCTCTAAAATGTTCCTGAGGCATAGATTCTTCTCTGTGTTTTGTGGTTCTAACCCTGTTCCTATAGTTAATTGATCACGTGATAGTCACCTGACTCAATTTAGGCAAAATAACAGTGTTTCAACTGGAACTACCAAAAGAAAGATTCAGGCCCTCTCTAGTAGAGAAAGTCATGAAACAGGCCCAGATTTGTTGACTGAATTATTCCATTTTTTTAAGAGGAAGCCAGTAGATGATATGAAGGCAAATAGATAATTTAGATAAAAGAAGGGATATAAAAAGTGAGAGTCCCAGTGTCGTTGAAATCCCTCAAAACTCAAATATACCCCTGTATTATGAGCACTTTGGTGAGACTACATAGTATCCTTTCGATAAAGCTCCTTTATACCTAAGATAGCTAAAGCTTTGGTATCTCTCCACAGAGTCCTGCCTAATACAGGTGTTGCAAAGGAAGACTCTAAAATGTGGACTGGCTGAGGCGAGGTGGGATAAGGGACAATGAAGGTCTTCACTTGTCTTATGTTGACTAAAGCAGAGGCAGTCAGGCCTAGCAATGGAATGCATTTTACCATTGGAGGCATCATTATCCCACTGGTAATTGTTACACAGAAGATATGTAACAAACTGATCCCATTTGGCGTAACAAAGATTTTCATTTTCTTGGCCTGAGATTTCATTCCAAAAATGTGTTCAATGTAAAGTTGTAAACTCAATGTAAACTCAAGTTCTTCCTTTTTCATGTTGACCCTTGGTATGTTAAAGGTAATGGCCCAGGAATCTGTATCATAATTATTCCAGCACCAATTTTCTTGAAAAAGAAAAAGAGACAAGAGGTGAAGAGAAAAAAAGGAGAGGAAAAGGAAAACGAAGTGACAGAAACTAGAAAATATCAAAAAAAAGTGACAAATAGAATTTTACACAAGTAGTGGATATAAACCATGAAGCAGATCATGTAGACAGGTCTAAATTCTGATCATTTATTTGAAACTACTTTTTAACCTTTATTTCTTTTTGTGAACACTAGCATCATTATTTTTTTATTGGCAACTTTGAGAAGAATACAAATTGTTTTAATGATCTCAGGGTGAATGAAGATGTGGATTACATTGGTAACGTATTTGTCTATCAAAAGCTACTAAGATTCTGGAAATTGAATCAGGGTAATTAACAAAGCCATCACTTCACATACTTGGTTTAATCATTTCACAATGTAAACATATCAAAACTTCACATTGTACCCAATAAATATATACAGTTATTTGTCAATTAAAAATAAAATAATAAAATTAATAAAAAAATAAAAATTTAAAAAGTTACAGTGCTAGAAGATTCAAATAAATTTATACCTGAATTATTGAGACTTTAAAAATGTTATCCAAGAAAGTTTATGTGAACAATTTTTAGGGCTCTATTTTTACCACTGTAATTTGTTTAGATTTCACAAGATTCCTGTCACTCTTTTTTCTCATCTATGAAATGAGAATAATAATCGTACCTATTCTATAGGGTTGTTTTGAAGATAAACTATAATAATATATGTAAAGTGCTTGAAATAGCACATAGAAACTATGCTAAAATATAGAGAATGGAATTTTTCACTTAGCTATTTGCAATAATAATCTTAAATTATGTAGTTAGAATTTGGCTCAGCAATAATTTTATTATACTTAGCCAATGAGAGTCATATTTGTTTAATTAATAAGTGTACACAAATTTTTTAACCAAAAAATATGTGAAAAGTTCCCTATAGCCATGCATGCTAACATAACTATTTAACAACTGACAAACCAGAACCTATGCTTCCCTGATCTCTAATCCCCACATCCCAAAATTACCTCTGCAATCCCTCTGCTGAGACCGCCATGGTATAAGATATTCTCTCACAATAATACTTTTGACACTATGGACAATACCCTCTTTGTAAGAGTGCCCCATACTTGGTGTTGGTATACCAACAGTCTTTGGAATAAACTGGCGTGAACATAGAGATCAAATTTTACATGCTAAGAACTTATTGAGGATACAGACTACACTGAAGAGGGCAGCATGCTGTGTTCATAAAGCATGAGATCACATTTTGGACCCAAGTTTTGAGGTATGAGATAATATAGAATTTACCTTGCTACCTGTTTTTGTAAATAAAATTTTACTGGAACACTGTCATACCCATCCCTTTATCAGTGGCTTTCCTTATCAGTGGCTGCTTTCAAGTAATAATAGCAGAGTTGAGTAGTTGTGATAGAGACCACCACATTGTCTACAAAGCTTAAAATATTTATTATCTGGACATTTACAGAAAAAGTTTGCAAAATCCTACTCAAACCATCATAGAAATGCTCTGGTTCTGTGTCTTAAACTGAGAAGGTACAGTCCTGAGCTTATGATTTTCTTTCTGAAACTTTCCAGTGCAGACTGGAACAACTGTACCAAGTGTTTGAGAAATTCATATTCACACTGCAGTAACCATTTACATTGCTATCAATAGGCTCTTTGGTAATCAGAGAAGATAATTAAGCAACTTTTTTGCCACTATATACCAGCAATCACATATTCCATTTGTAGTGGAATGCATTAAAACTTAATTAGGCAAAATATCCTAAATCCCAATAATCAAGATTCAGTTTTTTGGGATAGCTCCTGGAACCAAGTCTTTATCAGTCAAGGTCTAATTAAGAAAACAAAAATGAGTATTTCAAACAGAGGAAATGAAATAAAATAAATTGCTTATAAAGATGTTTAGAGAGCTGGAGGACAAACAAGAAGAAAGTAAGTTATTAGAAAAATTAGTGACCAAAGAAAAATATGTTCAGTATTTTTACATGTGCAGCTGAGCTGATGGTGATAGAACCAACCTACCTAAGAGCCCGTGTTCAGAGCAGCTTCAGCTGTAATTATCACAAGCACTGCCATAGCCTGGAGGAAAAGACTTATCCCTTCTTATCATCACCCTCGTCAGAGGGTGTATCCCTCCGACATCCCTCAAGTGCATCACAGCATCAGAGCCTAATGGAAACTACTTGGTAAGAAAGTCCTGGAAATGTACTTTCACAGGCTTCCCACTGGTGGGTCAAGAAAGCCACTGTAAGCTGAATTGTGAACTCATGGAACTCAGTGACAACGGATACAATCTGGCACAAATTCTACTTTTGCTATATATTTGAGTTAATAAAGATACCAAGTATAGTTTTAAAAATCTTTATTGTGGATAATAGTTTCTACACTTAGCATGTTATTTATATATAAAATATTATAATACCATGTCTGTCATCTATTTAGTGTTCTCTATATTGTTTTTAGGATAGTTGTGCAGATATGGTTGTTTATACTGCTGTATTCTTTCTTCAACTGTTATGGTTTGGGCATCGTCTCTCATGGATTGAAACTCCAAATTCCTTGTCTTTTCTATATTCTATTTATTTCATTTTCTTCTGATTTCTGGGAGAAATCCTCAATTCTATGTTCTCACCAATCCATTGAGTTTTTCATTTCTGCTGTCATATGTTTAATTTCTAAGGTGCCTTTTCTCTAATTTTCCTTTTTATAGTATCCTGATCTTCTTTCATTACTGCATTTTTTCTCTTAAGCCCCGAGAACAAATAAAGTTTTCTTCACCCTGTTGCTTTTTGTTTGTTTTATTCCCTGTCTTTCATATTAATTGCTTTTATCAAATGTCTGAGTGACCCTTGATTCTCTGCTTTTATTTAAGAGTGGTGTATAAAAAAGCTAGTAGTTCTGGGTGCATGGTGGAGAGTACCATCTGTGGTTACTGCGGCAGTATTGTCTGCCTGGCCTTTACTATTGGAGAATTTTATTGTCATAAATTTAGGTTTCCACCCCGAGCTGTCAGATTCTCCAGAGATCGTTCTTTCTTTCTTTTTTTTTTTTTTCTTTTTTTGTACTTTAGAAAATAGTCACAGAGCTGCCTAGATTTTCAGGGACAAGCTTTGGCAGAATGCTGGAAATCTCAATATTCAGCATGTAAGATTTTACTTAGTTTTCTATTTTTGATACAAAATTCCCACCCTGCACACTGCCCTATATCCCCAAGTACAAAGAGTCATTTCAGAGAATGAGCTTTGTTTCCTGCCAAGATGGTGAAGGGCATTTCCAGCTATGGAGTAAAGTGTTAAACAACTTCCTAAATTGACTTTAAACCTATCTCCAATTTTTAATTCCATCTGTACTCTCATGTCTAAAAATATCTAGTGCCACCAATTCCTAAAGATACAGAGAATTCTGCAGTTGCTTTCTGGCTTTCCCGAATGTCTGCCAAAGATTTATTAGTAGCTTCTATTTTATTTTTTGCTTTCCACGTTCATCCATCTGGTTTCCACCTTTCAAAATGTATTGTTTTCTTTCCTGTTCTCTTTGTCCTCATTGACTTTTTAAATTAAGGATTTGGGAGACAGTATAAGTTAAATGCATACGCTAAATCCGCCATCTTTAACTAGAAGTTTCCAATAGACTATATTTTAGGTCTCACCTTTAGTGGGCATGTGGGTAGGTGGATGTGTAATGTGAGTCTGTGTGGTTGACAGTACTGTCAATATTGATAACTACCTCCTTCTTAAAAAAGCTTTCTTACTGCAATAAGCTTTAAGGGAAGAGAGGTGTAGATGTAACTGTCTTTGTCAACTCTGCCAGTTTCCAAATTTGGGTGTACTCAGGAATCTTATGTTGAGGTTTTTGGATTCAGGAGTGGAATGTCTCTCTTAACAAACCACTCTTTTCTTCCATGTTTATTTGCAAGTTGGCAAGCTCCAGTCAGGGCTCATTTCTTCTTTCAGGACCTTTTCAAGCTCAAAAACAAGTATATACCAAATTCCGGATTTTACCTATCATTTTCCCTAAAACTACAGTCCACAGACTGTGTCCCAAATAGAGCTGCAGAACAAAGTTTATAAGAAATCTTTTGGGCCCACAGTGGTTTGATATGTATACTGAACCAACTTCACATTTTTGGTTCTGTTGCTTTCAGTACCTAACTCCAGCACTAAATTTGCATAAATTAAGATTAGATTTGTCTGCTCAGAATATAAAACTCTACCAAACAGTGGCTTAAACTAATTAGTAGGTTATTTTCCTTATAAAATAAAGAACCTAGAGTTAGATTATCCAGAGCTCATATATGGCTCCTTCGTGCCACTGGGAACCTGGGTTTCCTTCAGCTCTTTGCCTGTCATCTTTGATCTGCTATACTGAGATTCTTTCCTCATGGCTATATCATGAACATGAGCTCCAGTAATCAAGTCCATATTCCAAAAGGAAGAAGGGAAGACCAAAGTACCAAATGTGGGGGTGCTTGCTAAATCTAATCCTGCCTTAATCCATTTGTAATGCTATCGCAAAATACCACAGGCTGGGTAAATTACAAATATCAGGAATTTATTTTTTCACTGTTTTAGAAGATGGAAAGTTCAAGATCAAGGCACCAACAGATGTAGTGTCTGGTGAAAGCTCTCTTTCTGTTTCATAGATGCCGCCTCTTGTTGTGTCCTCACATGGCAGGGGAGATGGAAGGTGTTGGCAGCTCTCTGAATCCTCTTTTATAAGAGCATTAATCCTATTCATGAGGATGGAGCCCTCATGGCCTGGACAATTCCCCAAACCCTCACCTCTCAAAACCAACACCTTTGGCTTTAAGTTCCAACATATGAATTTTAGAGAGACAAATACATTCAAATGATAGCAAACCCTCTTTACTATAAAATTTCCCCCAAATGTTCCCACTCAGTAATTTCTGTTTATATCTCTTTGGCTGGGCAAATTGTTACTCTAGACAAAATCAAAGATCTTATAATAAAAAGGAATGGATTGTCTCATCTCCTAACTGTACTCACTGTTTTCTCTCTTGCCCACCCCAATTCATTCTCCAATCACCAGTCAGAGTAAGCTTTCTCAAAGAAAATCTGATCGTATCAGTCTTCTTATGCAACTCTTCAATGCAATCCTATTGAACTTAGTAAAAAAAAGTTCAAAAGCATTAACGTAGCTGTCAGAAATTGCATAGACTGTCACCTGCTTCCCTCCTAAGCCTCCTTTCTTATCACTGTTTCCCTTACCCTCCAAGCCTCACACATATGGACCTCCTGTGATTCAGTTATGTGAAGCCAGCATGCTTTTGCCACACTCCTTGATTTTCACACATGCTAGTCCCACTGCCTGATAAATTCCTGCCCTCATTCTTCACCTGAATAACAAATGATCTTTGTGATATCTATTTAGATATTATATACCTAGAAGAATCTTCCCTAACTTCCAAAATTAAACAAACTTCCTCATTTCAATTTCTATTGACCTCTTTATTTCTCATTTATAGCAGTTGTAAAAGTGAGTAATAATTGCTTCTTGTTTTATGCCTGAAATAATTTCATGCACTCTTACTTGTGTCTTCTAAAAATCTAACAGATAAAGAAAGTAACATGTACAGCTAGTCTTTTATATAATTTGTAGACACACACACATTTCATAATTCGGAGCTTGCCTAAGAAAGCTGTAATACTGTGAGATTTTTATTTTTCTAAATCATTGCAGAAGCAAGGAATCTGTCACCACGCCTTTAGTCCTGTCCATGTTGTCACTGATCTGTGATCTATGACATGGCCATTTTCCTTCTCCTGATGGTGTGCTATTATAAAAGCTTTGCAAAGTGACAGTACTGGGAAGTGGTGTTTGAACAGGGTATACCCAATGGGTCTCCTTCTTGCCCAGTCCTTGTCCCTGTTCATTTTTTATGGCTGATGTGAATCACAACTGAGCTGTGTTTTTTGTTTCTGAATCCTCAGCTTTGGTGTCCTCCTTAAAGATAAATTTAAAGCATTTACAAATCTTCTCGGAGGGTTTCTTTTTTGGCCAAGATATAACTCTGTTTATTTAAGGGTCTAATTTCAACCTACTGCTGCTGTGAGGTTAAATCCAACTTTCACCAAAGGTTTTCTGGAACATAAATTCCCCCTGCTATGTAAGTGGGAAGCAGCACATACTGTGTGAAATCAACTTTGATTTTGCTAACAGGTTAGGAACCAGAGGAAAAGCAGTTGGAATGAATCTAACAAAATCTATCAATCTTTTGGATGACTTTGTAGGTTCATAGACTATCCTACATATTTTATGTCCCTAGAGATGAGGGAAAAAGAGAAAAATCCTAATAGCGATAATATATTTATTTATGTTTCTCTATTTTAAATAATGGTAATAATAAAACTCTTACTATTTAAAAAGTATCTCTTTATTTAAAAGTTACTTAAATGCTATTTATTTTAAAATAAAAATTTTTAAAAGTATATATTTAGTCAAAAATTATTAAATAGTTGGGCACATGTTCAAGAGAAACTCATGGGTTTGTTGTCTTCCATTTAAAAATTATGCCCTGGGCATCATAAAATTATAAATTAGATTCTTCTGTAATTATTAGAATTAATATCTTCTACACTGGTGGAACCACAATATTTTGTATTCTTAGTCAAGCCCGAATAACATACTACTTGTGTAATTTGTTTTGTTTGCATGCCCGTCTTCCCAAACAGATTGCAAAATCTTTGAGTGCAAGGATATAGTACACACTAAAATTTTTGTTGTGTTGTTGAATTTTAAAAAAAAAGTATCTGAGAGCACTTTATATAAGCTACATATTGTTGTTGTTGTTGTTGTTGTCGTTGTTGTTTTGAGATGGAGTCTTGCTCTGTCATGCAGGCTGGAATGCAGTGGTACAACCTCGGAGCACTGCAACCTCCACCTTCTGAGTTCAAGCAATTCTCCTGCTTCAGCCTCCCTAGTAGCTGGGACTACAGGCACACATCACCACACCCGACTAATTTTTGTATTTTGAGAAGAGGCGGGGTTTTGCCATGTTGGCCAGGCTAGTCTTGAACTCTTGACCCCAGGTAATCTGCCTGCCTCAGCCACCCAAAGTGCTGGGATTACAGGTGTGAGCCACAGCACCCAGCCTAATTAGCTAAGTATTGTATATGTTTTTCTTAGAAAGCCACATCTCATTGAAAAATATTGTGTAAATTGTAAATGACACCAACAAGCCATTCTCTTACTACTTTACTTATATAAAAACATAGAGCAATGATTCTTTAAACCCTGTAAGTCTACCCAGTACTAAATGTTCCAATAAAATGTCAAATATAGTACTCAATGTCTCTGAAAATTGTTAAATATAAGGACAAATATTGTACAGAAAATTTGACTGATAAATGTGAAGCTATGCATTATCTATAGTAATTAGTATATTGCAAATTTATTAGGCTTTATTTCTCTTTAGAAAGTTTCTGAAAGCATTCATGGTATTACTGGAGAGTGTACATTAAAAAGCTCCTCAAAAGTCCTTAATACTCCAGAAATATAGATGTTAATGTACACTTCTCTCACCTTGTACTTGCTACCATGAACAGAAGATTGTGAAGGTAAAACCATTTGCTCTTTGATTTATAAGGATGGCTTGAGTCCATATAAAATAGACTCTTCAATGCTATAATGTACATTTTAAGATTAAAAATATTAATATTCAAATATGAGAGAGTGATTTTAACATTAATTTTTAAATTTTTTACAAAATCATATTCCCAAAATATTTTTGGCTTTCATAAATTGAAGAAAATAATGAAAATCCTGTTGATGTTCATATGTCAAATTATATGCACATATTCAGTTTAATGTCACAAATTCCATACCTTTCTCATTTATAGGAGAAGGTATTAACTATTTTTACTGGTTATCTGATTTTTCTGTTTTTCTAGCCAATTCTTTTTTACATATTTGTGATTAAAACTAATCTTATTTGCATATGTGCTAAATGTAAATAAGATTCAGATCCATATCCATTGTAATATGGATACTAGAACATAAAATATTCCTACTGTACTTGAAAGCAACAAAAATGGCACCTAACCATAGTTTGTCTATGCCAGCCCCTCACTACTGAACCTTGATTGCTACTTTGCCCCACAATGATTATTGCTAGCATTGGTATACATTTCCCTTCATACTTAGAGAATCTTCATATTATTCATCCATCTATACTAGTTAATATACAAGGTTAATACATAAAAACTGAAATGGAGGAGGGACCTTCAAGGGGGCTGACTAGAGGCATTTGACACTTACCCTCCCCACAGAGAAGAACCAAATCAGTGAGCAGATAATCCCACTCTGAATAGAGCATCTACTTAAGAACACTGAATTCAGCAGAGAAGTGATAGGAAACACCTTAGGCACATAAGCAGAGAGAAGTAAGGCAGTTGGCCCAGCCAGAATCATCACAGCCTTCTGTAATCCTAGCCATAGAAAAGCCCTCTCCATCCTTAGGGGCCCTGCAACTAATATAGGAGCTGCCTGGTGTCTGTGTGAGAGCAGTGCTTAGAGAGGGAGCTCATGTTGAGTCCCACACAACCCTGAGACATATAGCTGCATCACACACCATCTTGAGAGCCCACACCCCACCAGACTGCATCCCGTCCTGGGGCCTAACAATACCTGTATCTCTACCTCCTTGACATCCCCCATGTCCAACTGGAGGGCTTCAGTGGTGTGATACCCTACCACTCAGCAGTGCAGTAAGTTCTCCAGAACTCTAGCCCACACAGTGCCCTAAACTCCAAGGAATGGGTAGTGTATCACACTAGGAAGGCTGGGTCAAAGGGAGCCGAAGTGTGTGCTTCCCAGAGCCTGAAAGCTGCCTATCTGTAGCCACTACCAATGACAGAAATTCTGCTCTCATTAGCATCAAGACCACAGCATACTTGCACTTGCCCTGAGGATGACAAAAGAAAAAAAAAACTATCAGCTAAGAATACTATACCCAGAATAATTGTTCTCCATAAATGAAGTAAAAATAGTCTTTCCCAGACAAGAAAAACTTGAGAAAATTTATCACCCCTTGTGGGGCCCTTCAAGAAATGCTTATGCAAGTCCTATGCCTGGAAGCAGAACAAAAGGATATCTAGTATCATAAAACACATGAACATATAAAACACACTGGTAGAGCAAATAAATGATGAAGACAAAGAACTCAAAGTTTATCAAAACAGAAGAATGCCAAACTGCAATGATAAATGATAAGAGAGAAGAAAAGGAACAGAGGATATAGAAAACACCCAGAAATCAATTAATAAAAAGACAGAAATAAGTCTTTGCATATCAATAATAATCTTGAATGTAAACAGATTAAATTTTCCACTTAAAAGATAGAGACTGGCTGAATAGATATTTTTTAAAAAATGACCCAACTATATGCTTCCTACAGGAAACTCATTTCATCTGTGAAGACACATATAGGCTGAAAGTAAATGGATGGAAAAAGATATTCCACACAAACAGTAACTGAAAGTTAGCAAGAGTAGCTTTACTTATATCAGATAAAACATACTTTAAGTTAAAAACAGTTAAAAACATTAAGAAGAGACTGCCAGGTGCAGTGGCTCAAGCCTATAATTCCAGCACTTTGAGAGGCCGAGGTGGGCGGATCTCGAGGTCAGGAGATCGAGACCATCCTGGCTAACATGGTGAAACCCCATCTCTACTAAAAATACAAAAACAAAGTTAGTCAGTCGTGGTGGCGGGCACCTGTAGTCCCAGCTACTCAGGAGGCTGAGGCAGGAGAATGGTGTGAACCTGGGAGGTGGAGTTTGCAGTGAGCCAAGATTGTGCCACTGCACTCCAGCCTGGGTGACAGAGCAAGACTCCGCAAAAAAAAAAAAAACAAAAAACAAAAAACAAAAAAAAACCACACACATTTAGAAGAGACAAAGAAGGTCATTACATAATGACAAAGGGATCAATTTAGCAAGAGTATATGATAATTCAAAATATATATGCACCTAACCCTGGAGCACCCCAATATATAAAGCAAATATTATTAGATCTAAAAGAAAAGATAAATTTGAATACAAAAATAGTTGGGGACTTCAACACCTGACTCATGGCATTAAACAGATAATCTAGAGAGAAAACAAAGAAACACTGGATTTAAATGAGACTTTAGACCAAATGGAACTAACATTCACATTTATAGAACATTTTATCAAATAGCTATAAAATACATATTCTTCTCATCAGCAAAAGGAAAATTCTCCAGGATATGTTAGGCCACAAAACAAGTCTCAACAAATTTTTAAAAACTGAAATCATATGAGGTATCTTCTCAGAAACGATAGGATAAAAGTAGAAGTCATTATCAAGAGGAACTTTGGAAACTGTACAAATATATGGAAATTAGACAAATACATGTTCCTAAATGACTATTAATAAAGAAATTAAAAAGGAAATTTTAAAAATTATTGAAACAAATGAAAATGGAATCACAACATACTAAAACCTATGGGATACAATGCTAACTGGGACGTTTATAGCAAGAAGTTCCTACTTCCAAATAGTAGAAAGATTTCACATAAACAACCTAACAATGCACCTGAAGGAACTAGAAAAACAAAAACAAACCAAGCCCCAAAAGGTAGAAAAAATAAATAATGAAGAGTAGAACAGAATTAAATGAAATAGAGACTAAAACAATAATACAAAGGATCAACAAAATGAAAAGTGAGCTTATTGAAAAGATGAGCAAAATTAATAAACCACTAACTAGAGTAACAAAGAAGATAAGATAGAAGACTCAAGCAAAATCAGAAATAAGAAAGGAAACCTTAGAATTGACACTACAAGAATACAAAAGATAATCAGAGATTATTATGAACAACTATATGTTAAGAAACTTGAAAACCTACAGAAAAGGGATCAATTCCTAGACATATACAACCTAACATGATTGAATCAGAAAGAAATAGAAAGCCTCAATAGACCAATAATTAGTAACAATGTTGAATCAGTAATACAAAATCTTCCAACAAAGCAAAGCCCAGACTGATGGCTTCAATGCCAAATTCTACCAGAAACCTAACACTAATTATTTTCAAACCACTCCAAAAAAAAAAAAAAAAAACTGATGAGAAGGGAATTCTCCCTAACTCATTCTATAAAACCAGCATTACCCTGATATTAAAGCTATACAAGGACATAACAACAACAACAACCAAGAAAAAAAACACAACAGGCCAATGTTCCTGGTGAACATAGACACAAAAATTCTCAACAACATACTAGGAAACTGAATCAATCCCATAACACATCAAAAAAGATAATACACCATGATCCAGTGGGATTTATACCAGGGAAGCAAAGATATTTTAACATATACAAATCAATAAACATGATATATCACATTAACAAAATGAAGGACTAAAACTATATGATCATCTCAATAGATGCAGAAAAGCATTTGATAAAACTAACATTTCTTCATGATAAAAGTTCTCAACATGCTAGGCATAGAAGGAGTATACCTCAACATAATATAGGCCATGTATGACAAACTCATAGCTAACATGATACTGAAGGGGGATACGATGAAAGCTTTTCCTCTAAGAACTAGAATATGACAAGAAAGCCCACTTTCATCACTCTTATTCAACACAGTACTAAAGTACTAGCCAGAGCAATTAGGCAAGAAAAATAAAAATAAAAAGCATCTAAATTGAAGAACTGGAAGTCAAATTATCCTTCTTTGCAGATATGATCGAATATTTAAAAACCTTAAGGATTCCCCCCAAAAAACTAAATCTGATAAACAAATTCAGTAAGCTTGCAGGATGCAAAATCAACATATGAAAATCAATAGTGTTTCCATACATCAATAATGAACAACCTGAAAAAGATAGTCCAAGAATGCAATCCCATTTACAATAGCTACAAAAAAGTTTATCTCAGGGAGGTAGAAAGTAGTATGATAGTTACCAGTCTGGGAATGGCAGGGTTGTGGAGTCAAGAGAGGTCGGTTAGTGGAAACAAATGTAAAATTAGATAGGAGGAATAAGTTACAATACACAATAGCAGAATAGGGTGACTATAGTTAACATCAATGTATTGTATATTTCAAAACGGCTAGAAGAGAGGACTTGTAAAACATTTTCTAAGTAAACCCGAAGTAAACATTTTCTAAGAGAGCATATTTACTGACCTGAAAAGCCAGTTCAGTTATGTGGATTCACTGGTATACATGATGAAGTTGTTGCTAAATGGTTAATAGTATTCATGAGAAAAATTAAAACAACACAACTTTTTATTAGCTTTTATGTATATTTTAACAACTCTCTCTTCTCTTTGGTCACATACTTGTAATAAGTAAAACAAAATAAATGAAATCAGTATGCTCATGTATTTGACAAAAATCACTATCCTTAAAGAAAGATAATAATAATAAAATGATAATGTAATTATGGCCTCTAACAAATTTAGGAGACTCATGGTATAATGTGCACATGCTAGATACTTATAAATTTTAAAATAGTAATAATTACAATGATATAGTGTGCAAATTTCTCCAGATCCATTATAGGGAAAGAGAGAGTTTCAGATTACTAGCAAGTAAATTTGGGCTCAGAAAACTAAACTATTGGGTGTAATTATCTGTCTCTGAGCATCATCCATTTCTGCAGAGAGCTGGGAAGAAATTGCTGCTTATGATTTCATTTCTTCCTTTTCTAGGGAATTGATTTTATCTTTAACTTTACGTTGTAAAAAATTATCATTGACATCATTTAACAAATAAAACAAAGCCAAGAAGACCATAACAAAACTTTGAACGCATATGCGGTCCCATTGATACATAGAACTGAGAATATTTTGGGGCATTCTTGGAGTTCATGGAATAAATATATTTGAGATTTAGACTTGGATCTTCCAGTAATGAATTGTGTGATACCTAATAGGACATGTACACTCCCTAGTATTCATGTTTCTTGTTTGGAAGTGAGAAATCAAACTGGTGGCTATTTAATGTGCCATCAGCTCTCTTGTTGAGCCTAATGGACTCTGGGACAAAGGGCTCTGTCTATTCACAGTGATAAGAGAATGCTTTCAGTAAAGTTTGAAATAGGTTCTTGATTATTCCTTTTTAATACAAATAATTAATGGAGCAATTTAAAAAGTTTAGTCTTTTGTGATGTAAACACTTTGAAATAATTTTATTTCAATGCTGTTTTTTCAGACCATCTAGTGTCCTAGGTCGATCAGAGAAGTATTTAGACATGAGCTCTCACTGACTCCAAGATTTTATAAGTTTTGTTGAGGACAAGGTCCACCTGGTCAGTAATACCATGTTAGTTCTTTGACAGGGACCTTCCCTTGTTTTGAGAGCAATGGAAAAGGAATATTTGTTCAGTTCCAACAGACTTAACATGTAGTCTATTTCTGGCTTTGTGGTC